>NC_000007.14:147337167-147488682 GCF_000001405.40 Homo sapiens | reverse complement strand
CTGTCTCATCCTGACCAAGCCCGGGCTAGTGTAGAAGGTGTGCTAAAATATTGTAGCCTGTAATGTTTGAAACTCTAACAAATGTTCTATTATATTAAACTTTAGCTCTTAGTTAGCTGCTTTTTTTAAAAAAAAATACTATTTAAAATAATTAGCATGATTTCTTTTCAAGATGAATGCTTGGTCTTCTGCAGGAAATAATGAAGCAAAATATTTTATGTTACTTACACAGTTCAAACCCACAGAATACAGAATAAGCAACTGCAAATCTCAGCTCACTGGCTTGTAGAATACCAAGAGACTTCAGTCGAACAAAGTGCAAGAAAAGTCAAATGATTGACCACAAAGGCACACGGCCTGATGGTTTTATAGCTAGCGTCAGACACATCAGAAACTGGGGCCTTCGCACTTCGTTCTTCTTGCTTTGAATGTGGTCATTGATTTCGCAAAAATGTAAAATTGTTCATTCTGTGTCAAACTGAATGGCATACATTGTATCTTCTTACATTTGTGCTGTGTGAAATTTTTAACTAATCCATTTGGATAAGTAAGACTGTATCAAGTCTTTCAGGTTATTAGGAGGCAAATGGCCTTCAATAAGCTACAATGTATATTTTTCGAAAGAAAAAGTCACCAGCCAACCCTCTCTTGAATTATGTAGTATGGTCTTTTCACCTCTATTTATGCACACGTTGGATATTCAAAATTTTGGCTTCATTTGGAGAAGACAACAAAAGATCAGGCTTTTATTATTAAAAAGAATGATTCTGCTTTTAAAGATCCAACAAAATGGAGCAAGGAACAAGTAGGAAGGAGCAGCAGAACAAAAGACAATTTTTGTCTTTTACCTTTGGAGCTGGCCACTAGCACCAAACCTAAACACACTTAGGACATTTCTAATCCTTGGAGTCATTACCCTTAAAAAACAAAACAAACCTCAGCTACTCAACCAGTAGCATACATTTTAATTTTTTTTTTTGCCTTTTTGCTGTGTATTTTAAGGATGGAAACAGTTATAAAAAAAGAATAAGTTGCTTTTCAGTTCAATGTAAAAGCCATCACTGAGATAGAAAATCCTTGCAACCACCACCGATTTCTTGCTCTTGACCATTGGTTAGCATTATCGTATTTCAGGAACAAGATCCCGTGTAATTAAATATGGTATTTATAACACACGATAAAAATTATGCTAGTGGAGTGAAGGCACTGAGTTTCATCAATGTAATTCTAGCATCACGTTATATTTAATAAATGTCACATACTGGAGGTTAATATTTTGATGTGATTGGTAAGGAACAATTTTAGTTATAACTCTTTGAATTAATTTCAGTATCAATCATTTTTGTTCTTTATTCATTAAAATACTTTCATATATGTAAACACAGATAATGAATCTAGTATCAATTTTGACCTTCTTGACATCTTTCTATTGTTAGTTTTGTCAAGATTTCCTTTGCCTCTTGTTTTTGAATATCTACCTAAACAAATAAATGTGTGCAACTTTGTAAGTCAACATTTTACAATATATTCAAAACACGATTTCTTCTTGCACATTACTACAAATAACACAATGGAAAGGCTTAGAGAGCTGTATGACATTTTTACTGTACACAGGGCTCTACTCTGAGATAGTTTGCTTGTCACCATTTCCTAAAAGTAAAGTGAAATCTGTTTGTATAATCGGAGGATTTAGATATTAGAGTTTCAGTGTTTGGGCATATTGAGAGAAGGTTGAATCTCTCTTTTTCTCTTGCTCTTCCTTCCCTACACACACACACACACACACACACACAGGCACATACGTATGCACACACTAACCAACAGTTGACTCTCTTCTTGTAATTATGTGATTCATGCCAAATATGTTTTCAAAAGTGCTTTGTTTTCAAAAGCGTTCTGCAAATGGCGATGCATTATTGGAAAATTAATATTATAATTATAAGAGTTAGCATTAAATTTTTTAAGTACAGAAATTTATTTTTTATTTAACCTTTTGGAATAAAGCTATTTATATAAACCAAGGCACATATGTGTTTTCCTAGTCATTTTTGCATGTTACTTTTTATTTTTGCCATTTTAAAATATTTTTACCCTCTTATGTCTTCATTTTATTACCTTCTTATGTATTTTATCTATTGGCTTTTAGATATTCCATTTCGGACTCATTTCTTTGATCTAAAAAAAGGTAGTCAAATAGTTGGGCTAAAGCATGAGGCAGCCATCATCCAGAAACTAAATGTTCCAATTACCCTGTGTCTCCCTCTCGGATTAATTAATAAATGAGGGTCCAGTCAGAGACATCACACTAACACGATTTCCCAAACAATCGACCCAACAGATGTGGGTTAGACACAGAGAGGCGAATCCAAGTTTGGACTTCCAATCTCAACTATGTGTTTATGGAACAGAGGAAATGCTGGTCCTTCTTTTTGAGTCCTTTGCCACCAGAGAACATATTTTAACAAGTAGAATAGTGTATTTTATTTTTTTTTTTTTGGAGAAATGACAATTGGAATCTTGGTTTTTCAGATTCGAGTGATGTATTATGTGGATTATTCAGGTTGCTGAGCTTCAAAGCACAGCTCAAGACTTGAGATTCTCATGCAATTACAAGATTAAAGTGAGATAAATTGGCACTCACAGTTGTGGCAGGTGGCCCCACTGTATCCTGTCTCATCACAAGTGCATTTGAAGCTGTCCCATGTTTGCGAGCACTTTCCACCATGCTCACAGTGATTGGGCACACATCTGTCAGAGAGAGAGACAAACAGAAATAAACCAACAAACAAATGAGATTTATGAGTGGCCAAATTCCAAGCTGTCTGGGCAATATATCATTTCAATGCCAGGTTGCCTTACCAAGGCAATTAATCCTTGTTAGTTTAAGCAGATTAATATGATTCATGAAAGAAGGTGCCAAGCGCAACAAAGATGATGTATCACCGACCTGGAGCTTCCCATTTTTGAGTAAACAGTAGACACTAACAAACAACTGAGGGATTTACTTGAATATCACAGATTCATTTTATTTTTCTTTTACCCCAAAACAAAGACAGCAGCTAAGTTCCCTCCTGGTGAAAGATCGAAGATAAGCTGTCTTATTTCTTGTTTTATTCTATTCTTTGTCAAGCCAAAAACTGACGTAAAGAGGGGTATCATCAAGTTTTTCATAGCAATTTGAGTTTTTGAAATAACGTCATGATAACAGCAATGAAAATATACTAACTTAGAAAGAAAAGATTTCTAAGTCTCCCAAACACCTATTTCCCACTGGATAACTAAAGCAGCCTGCTGAAAGAGGCAGCAAGCATAATACAGAAGGAAAGATACAGGTTTTGTGTTCAAATCTATATCTTTTTATTAAGATGACTAATTGTAGCTACTTAACTGAACCTTTCTGAACCTTAGTTTTCACCTTTGAAAAATAGGATAATTCTATCTTACAAATAATTTTAAGGTTTGAGGATAATGTTCATGAAGTATTAACAGACAACTAATAGGCAGGAAATAGTGGGCCAATAAACGGAAGCTTTAGATTTCTGAAACACAGCCTCCAGGGCACAGCTTTACTGTACCTCAGAAATTGTGAGGCTGAAATTTGTCCTGAAACACCCCTGTTTCAATGGCACAAACCCTTTCTCCTGGTTCCATCCACTCATCCCTCCCATCAATTCCTGTCTCCATCTACCCCACAACCTGATTTTTGTTATAATCCTGCTGAAGATGCTCACAGATAACAAAGGTATTCATTGTGATGTACCAGTATTCACAAAGGACATCTAGACTTTAGTAGGGAACTCTCAAAAACAGGAAAACTTTCCCAGATTAAAATAGCAGAATCTATAATCATGGGTCACTGGCAAAGGACAGATAAAGAGCCACCCCTTTATCATAATGCCCTAGCAGCTCCCTGCTACAAAATCTGATAGAGCTGGCCTCAGAAATAGCATTCTCCAACTCCTGTTCTCAATTTACCACTAGCCATGCCTAAAACCACCTGTAGCTGGGCTTGGCTCAGTTTGGCATGGAGCCCCTGGCTCTGAGTAGCTTGCTGTTCTTCCACAACTTTTTACAAACTTTTACTCCTGAAACAAACATTGATTGAGCACCTGCTATATGCACAGCACTACGGAAAATAGAAGATGACTACGACTGTATTCACAGCCTTGCAGAAGAGCTCATAGTTCATATAGAAGTAGATACAGTATGTATGAAAACTACAGTGCAAGGAAGAAATGAAAAACAGCATAATTCAGGGACAAATAAAGTACTACGGGATTTCACATGAGGAATCATGTACATTTTGGGCACAATTAAAAGCTTTTAGGTTGAGACTCAATGAATGGACAGGACTACAAGAGAAGAAAATGAGAGGAAGAACATTGGGGAAAAATACAATATAAACAAAAGCATCTTGTTGAATTATCATGAGGGATGGAAAATTCACCCTAAATTTAATAGACACTTACTTTTTTATAAAATTTGGGCTCAGTGTTATCAAGGCTACAAAGATGTTTCATCTCCAAATTTGAGTGGAGGTGGGGTGGGGATCTGATTCATGAAAAATGCAAACCCAGAAGAATTTGATGAGTCATAAAAGATACACGAAATGCTATAGAAATTTGGATACTAGAGGAGTTACAAGTGGATGATAAACAAAGGCTTCATAAAGTTCAGAACATTTCACCCGGGCCTGAAAAGAAGAGTTGTATGTTTATGATTAAAATGTTGAAAATCATTCCTAGCAGAATAGGCGAGAAAAGCACTGATAAGGAGGTGGAAGAGTGAAAGCAGTGGGAGGTGCAGGGTTGTGAGGGTCCTTTCCTATAGCCACTATTCTGTACAGGCCCTGAGGCGTGGGAACACACACAGCAGAAGGTGTTTACATCCAGAGCAGGTGGTTCTGCATATGATGGAAGGAAGCAATGGGCTAGACACTTCAAAATTACATGAAACTAAAACATCCTTGATACTTAATTTTGGAATTCAGTACGTATATGGTGTTGTATGGTATATTTACTTTCTAAATTATTGCGGGTTAATATTAGCTCAGCCTAATATTGAAAGTAATTTACATCAGCTCATTATATCAATTAATTCGGGGGAAGTAGTGCAGAAGGGTACTAAGTAGCAGAGGAAAACCAGGCTGGAATCTAAATGTGGTGTAAATAATGGGCAGAGTAGAAAATCATCTCGATGATAGAAAAGATTACTGTGTTCTTACACGCATGCAAAAAGGATATATCCATCAAGTGAGATTAATGAATACAAGTCATCCCTCTCTATCTGTGAGGGGATTGTTCCACACCAATCCCCACCCACCCCATAGATACCCAAATCCACGCATTTTCAAGTCCCTGTTATAAAATGGTGTAGTATTTGCATATAACCTATGCACAGCCTCCCACATAATTTAAATCATCTCTAGATTACTTAGATTTATCATCGTATTATTTTTAATTTTTTTCTATTTGCCATTGGTTGGATCCACTGATGGATTCACAAATACAGAGGTCCAACTGTACTTCAAAAATTCAGTATTAAGGATTTCTTTAAAAGTATTTTTTATTTAGATACAATTTTAATATTTTTCTTTCTTATAATTCTTATTTTTATTATTTATTAATTTATTTACTGATTTATTTTTGAGACAGAGTCACCCAGGCTGGAGTGCAGTGGCACCATCTCGGCTCACTGCAACCTCCGCCTCCTGGGTTCAAATGATTCCCCTGCCTCAGCCACCCAAGTAGCTGGGATTACAGGTGTGTACCACGACATCCAGCTAATTTGTGTATTTTTATTAGAGACAGGGTTTCACCATGTTGGTCAGGCTGGTGCCGAACTCCGGACCTCAAGTGATTCACCCACCTCAGCCTCCCAGAGTGCTGGGATTACAGGCATGAGCCACAGCCCCCGGCCGATTATTTATTTATTTATTTATTTATTTATTTATTTATTTATTGAGACGGAATCTCGCTCAGTCGCCCAGGCTGGAGTGCAGTGGCGCGATCTCGGCTCACTGCAAGCTCTGCCTCCTGGGTTCACGCCATTCTCCTGCCTCAGCCTCCCGAGCAGCTGGGACCACAGGCACCCGCCACCACGCCCGGCTAATATTTTTTTGTATTTTTTGTAGGGACGGGGTTTCACTGTGTTAGCCAGCATGGTCTCGATCTCCTGACCTCGTGATCCACCTGCCTCGGACTCCCAAAGTGCTGGGATTACAGGCGTGAGCCACCACACGGGCCTGATTCTTATTTTGAAAATTGACATTCTCCCTGTGATGATTATAGGTATTCTAATTCTTAATGGTGGAAAATGTTTTATTTCCTAACCAACTTGTTCAAATATAATTGCAAACCCTATCGCCATATATATATATTTTAAAAGTTAGGACCAGTTACCAAGCAAAACAAAATACTAATTAACCTAGCTACCCCTTTCCTATTATTTCTTCTGTATTTCCACAGAACTAGTAACCTATGTCCAATACACCATTATTACATTGCTTAGCAATGGTTTGTTGAGCACCTGTCTCTTCTGAACTGAGATTCCTACAATTAGGGGTTTTTATCTTATAATTCTTTACATAACTAGGTGCATGCTCAGTAACTGCCTATTGACACATTGACTGAAAGAATGGATGAATGCAATGCTAGAATGTTACACCACCAAGAAACAAGTAATTTCAGAAGAAATATCTCTTTTACTGTGAGAAATATAGATTATTTGTATCTATGATTTTATTCTCAAATCCAGACTCTTGCGCTAATAAACTAATTTTTTTAGTAGCCACAAGGAATGTGTAATTTGTTTCATGGCAAGTCCTAGCTTGAAAGTTTGGTTCACATCAAAAATGAATAAAAATGACTCGACTGCTTCTACTTGAGAATGACTTGACCGGGATCAGGAAGGTACAGGGGAGAAGTTGGCAGGTGTCAATTTGTTGTGATCAAGTGACTCCAGAAGAAGTGATGCATCCAATTAACTCGGGCTCCAGACAGCCCTGCCTTCTCCATCGAACTCATACTTAGTTCCAGCTTTCAAAATGCTTTAGAATCAAATGCATTTTATTCAAATAAAATTCATTTAGACTCCAATACATAAGACAAATGAAAGCTATATTTTGGAAGGTCAAATGGGCTGCAATTACTTAAAGCAAAATAAATCAACATGGACAGAGTGGCTGGTTAGATGGATGTTGCAATTCAATCCAGGGCTGTGGATGACAGTTGCACTTTTATTTTACCCATAGCATCTCTTTTATTTCTGAACTTGATTTTAATTGCAAAGCATTGGGAATTTTGGGAATCACAAATAGAAGAAGCTGCAAATGGTACCAGATTTGTTTGTTTGTAGTAGCTTACTTGGTAGTTTATGGACATTGTTTAATTAAGCAGGGATAGTGGAAGAACTTTTATTTCAAATCTAAAAAATGTTAGCCTGACAGCATAACTGTATGCCTTGGTAATCATCAACGCACGTTGAAGGCTTTTTATCTACAGTGCTTAAAGTTAAAATAGACATTTTAAAATAAAATGTCTTTGTGTTACCTTTAAAACCATATTTGGTCTTGTAAAACCTGAAATGAAAACCATAGTCATAGCACCATGACTCCAGAAATCCACATGGAAATATGTTCTGGTGGTACCAAGCGCAATGAACAGTGCCGTGTGTATCAGAATAACTGCTGTTCTGTATAAACCGAATCCTTGGCACTCAAAAGTAGTGTTTCTCAAACCTTTGTGTGCATAGGAATCTCTTGAAAATCTTAAAGATTCTGATTCTTGCGGTCAGGATTGGAGTCTGGGATTCTGAGATCCTAACAAGGTCCCAGGTGATGCTCATGTGGTCGGGCAGAGAACCACGGTTGGAATAGCAAGGCTCTAGCGCATCGCACTTCTCTGCAGCGGGGGCTCAAAGGAGAATGCAGTTGCTGAGTAGGAGGAGAAACAGCCCAGGAAGGGAGCACAAGGAGAGAAGACAGCCTGCAGCCAGGGCTAACACGATCTGTTCAGTCATTTCTCCTAAGACTGCTTTTCCATAGGTCCTCCTGCCATGTTTTAATCTGATCTACTCAGAGTGACATATAATAATCTTTGTAATCTCATTTAGCAAGTTAAATCATTTCTGCACCTGACTGTAGACTTCATATAATTCATAGAAAGTGATCACTGACTATAAAGGCAGTTTCACTTCTTCATAAAATCAAGTTCAGCATTCTCAATCTCAGGGTCAGCTAAGACTTTCCCCATGCTTAGACCACATACATATAACAGTGCTAGGATATTTAATTTGCTTTTAGACTAATGCCAACTTTACACCTGGACATTAAATATGCCTTGTTCTAAACTTTAGAAAAGACTGCTTCTAGGTTACTGATAGCTTATTTTTGTAAATGATTGGCCCATTATTTAAAACAATTTATAAGTTATTATTCCAGTATAAATTGCCTCCTTAATTTATGAGTTGTTCCCTTCATCTCAGCATGAAATTTTATTTTTGCTTATTAAGACAAGAAATATATTTAGAATTCTTGCTTCCTTGAATACTGTTTTTCATACTCGTGACTCTCAGAGCTGTTTCCATAATCATAGTATTTTCTTCTGCATTACCTTCTATGTTGATCTCAACAATATTTGAGTACTTTTATTTCTATACTAACTAGATTTTGATTTCAGTTGAAAGGATATTCTCTATGGAGTGTCTTCTATTTATTTTATCCTGCCTTCTATTTATTTTATTCAAATAGAAATTATTTAGAAAAATAATCACAATTCCAGTAACTAATTTAAAATGTTGTTATTACATAACATTATAGTGGTAAAACTAGAAACACTATTGTAATATTGATGGAGCTCCTTCAACAAGCATTTATTTATAGAAATGTTTAAATGCTAAGATATTTACTGTACCTCTGACATTATGCCCAAACTTTTCATTAAAAAAAAAGCAAGCATATTTGGTCTACATCTATTAATCATTAATTTTGCTATGATGAGATAAGCAACTTAACTTGGGTTTTCTGCCTTTTAAATCTTTTTTATTATAATGAACTAGAGTTCACTTTATCTCATTTTGCTAATTTACTTAGAGTTATACTTTTACAATATATTTCTCACTGTTTTGTAAATAAAATGTCTTTTGAAAGATTGCTGGCCCACAGGAAAAGAACCTGCAAAACCATCTGTCTATTCATCTGTCTCCAGGTTGAACTGTATTAAACCTAAATAAACAACCCTAAGTTCTTTCAAATCAGTCAGTCGCCTGTTCCACATAAGACACTCTAAAACAAACTCTGAGAAACAAAGAATAAAGAAAGTTTCATTCTAAAGAAATTGTCTTTATTCATGCAAACATAATTAGCAAATGAGTTCTATATACATATGCCAGATATTAGAAAAACTGGTACAGAATGAAGATCATAGGCCATTGTTTTATGCGTGTATGGAAGTTTTATGGAATAACAAATCTTTGAAAGAAAGTTTAGACTTGAGTAGCCTGGAAGGAGGAGGAATCCCCTTCTACGTGGAGGGAAGACAAGGGCCTGCATGTTTAGTTAAGCACAGAATGTGGTTGTGAAGTAATAAATCAGTGAGTTTAGCTAGAGAAGAAAGTCTGCACACAGGAATGAGGATCACAGCAGACAGTTGTGGATGCCCATGCCACAGCCCTTTCCCCTTTCTTCCTGTCGTCACCCTGCTCTTGCTCAAGTATCTAGCCTCCTTCACGTGGCCTGTGCCTTTTAGAAGGGGATACTATTTCAGTCTCCAAGGATCAAGAAGGAAAGAGTCAGGCATCCTAACAAAGTCATTAAGCTGTTGCACATTGTTATGCAAAATTTACAGTCCTCTTCTATAGCAATAGAATTTATGTCTTGACATAGAACCCCACCAGTTACAGACAATATTTTCCAGGCTTTCTTTAAGTTACATGGCCCTGTGGCTAAGTTGAAGGCAATGGAAGTGCCATGTGCAATGTCTGGATGAAGCTCCTAAAGGGGAAGGATATGAACTATTTCTCCTTTTTTGTCCTTCCCAATCTTCTTCCAGAAATGAACCTGTGATAGTGAGAACTTTCATTCAGTGAATGAAAGGAAAATATCTAAGTAATCTGAGCTTTGGGTAGCATACTAGCCCCGGGCCACCTACCCAAAGGTTTTCATGACAGAGAAATATAATTCTGGATGTTTTAAGCCACTGTTATTTTGGGTCTTTATTATAACAACAAATAGGCCAGGCACTGTGGCTCACACCTGTAATCACAGCACTTTGGGAGGCCGAGGCAGATGGATCACCTGAGGTCAGGAGTTCAAGACCAGCCTGACCAACATGGTGAAACCTCGTCTCTAATAAAAATACAAAAATTAGCTGGCTGTGGTGGTGGGTGCCTGTAGTCCCAGCTACTTGGGAGGGTGAGGCAGGAGAATCACTTGAACCCGGGAGGCAGAGGTTGCAGTGAGCCGAGATCATGTCATTGAACCCCAGCCTGGGCAACAGAGCGAAACTCCCTCCCCCACCACCCAAAAAAAAAGAAAGAAAGAAAAAGAAAAAAACAACAAATATACATATCCTAACTAAAATAGGACTGCAGTTCCTCTACTTTGATGTGGACCTATATCTTGCCTTCTTATTATGACATAATACATTTGGTGGCTGCTATTATTTAAGTCATTTATGTGTTGCGTTATATGCAGCTGAAAAAACTGAACTGATAGATGTTAAATGTACAACCATAGGTTGGGTTCAGATTGCAAAATGTATTAATTATTACATTAGGGATTTTCTTGGAGAATGTAGCTTTGTTTGTTCATTCGACTTATATTTATTGAGTACCTACGGTGTAAACTCTGCCATTTGATTATGGTTTCTTATCAAGAAGTTAAATAGCAGGAAACAATATTTCTGGGAGATTGTGTGATGATATACAGTCCATTCACTGTTCAAGGGATTTTTGAACTTTATCCAGAGGCAAAATAAAGCCAGCCATCAAGAGATGCACCACGGAGATATATTCTCTTCACCCCTAATTGAATGGTTTTAACTAGCTTTGGCATTTAGAACATTTTTTACTAGGCATGGAAAGCACTGAAAGTCTTCAAAAATGAACTTACTTGATAACTACATATTTAAAATATTAAGGTAGTAATAGGTGCAGGATAGACAGGAAAGGGAAAAACTAAAGGCAAAATAAACTCAACAGCTATTTTAATGCTCCAAGTAGAAAATCTTAAAAACCTGGAGTAGAATGAGACCACAAGAAACCCAAAAGGATTAAAGGGGTTACATTATTAATTGATTACTTGGAGGTAAATTAATTAAGATGCCTCAGATATTCTGTGTGTAGAAACCAGTGATAATCAGTGGCATTTTCAGTTTGAGGTTATACTTTTTCTTATATAACAAGGAAGTTTCAAACCTGATAGGTTTTGATAGAAACTCTTAAAAAAGTAAATTTTAAATTTAAATTCATAATTTGTTTTCTCAAAATGGGTTAAATTTAGAATAATTGTAAACTATATTTCTCCCCAAAAAAATATTTAGCCTTATTTCCATCTCATCTCTTTTACTGGAGGAAAAAAGATGACGATAACAAAAAGATACAAGAAATATTGTGCCCCAAAGTAAATTTTCTGAAATGCACAGGAATATGTAACATACTTGTTTTAAGTATCAAGTTTGAGTTATCTGCTTCACGTCCATAGATACATTTTATTTCACCACAACCTGCTGTATCTTTTTTTTTTTTTTTTTTTTAAATGACAGAGTCTCGCTCTGTCACCCAGGCCGGAGAGCAGTGGGATGATCTCAGCTCACCGCAACCTCCGCCTCCTAGGTTCAAGTGATTCTCCTGTCTCAGCCTCCTGAGTAGCTGGGATTACAGGTGCCTGCCACCACACCTGGCTAATTTTTGTATTTTTAGTAGAAAACAGATTTTTGCCATGTTGGCCAGGCTGGTCTCGAACTCCTGACTTCAAGTGATCCACCAGCCTTGGCCTCCCAAAGTGCTGGGATTACAGGCGTGAGCCACCGCGCCTGACCAACCTGGTGTATCTTTGATTACACACTGCAGGGGCAGACTAGGAAAAGTTTATGGGTAGCCATGAACTAGGAGAGAGAGTATATAGTGAGATGTAGGTAGAAGGAAGATGAGAGATAGAGAGAGGAAGCGAGAAAGACATCCAAGGTACCTAGATGTTGGGAGAATATAACCACAAACACTACTAACGGGAAACTTAAAAAGTCATGATGAAATCTAAAATTGATATAAAAAATAAACAGAGGTGGGCGCGGTGGCTCACACCTGTAATCCCAGCACTTTGGGAGGCTGAGGTGGGCGGATCATGAGGTCAGCAGATTGAGACCATCCTGGTTAACACGGTGAAACCCCATCTCTACTAAAAATACAAAAAAGTAGCTGGGCATGGTGGCGGGCGCCTGTAGTCCCAGCTACTCGGGAGGCTGAGGCAGGAGAATGGTGTGAACCCAGGAGGAGGAGATTGCAGTGAGCCGAGATCGTGCCACTGCACTCCAGCCTGGGTGACAGAGCGAGACTCCGTCTCAAAATAAATAAATAAATAAATAAAAATAAAAAATAAAAATAAACAGAGGCGGGGATATTATATTCTGAAATTAAAGCTTAACAGGTAAGATTATCGATAGTAGATAAAATATTTACTAGACCCACAGTAAATATAAACTAATATTGGTGTATTAAAATATAGATAGATCAATAGAATAGAATTAAAAATCCAGAAATAAATACAAAGACTTATACAAATTAGGTTAACAGTGTTAAGTCAGTGGAGAAAGTGCTTTACTTAGTAAATGATGTAAGACAATCAGCTATCATGTGAGAAAAAGAGTGAGACCTCCTTCTTCCTTTGCCAAAATAAATTCCAGATAGATGAAAGATTTAAACGTATGTGGCAATAAAACATAATAAGGTATGGTGGAATACTTTTTATAAACAACTAATATAGAGGGCCTTTCTAATGAAGACACAAATCCAGGAACCATTAATAAATTTGACTACATATTTTTTTTTTAAATCTTGAGTGACCAAACATAGCCAAATACAAAGACAAATTGGTAAGCATATTTTAATATGGTAGACAAAGGACCATTTTCTTTATCCTATGAAGAATACTCAGGAACTAATAAGAAACAATATAATTGAAATATGAGTAAAGGGTTTGAACAGGGCAGTTCACAGAAAAAAAAACACATAACTTTTAAACATATAGAAAATGTTCAACATCATTCATAATCAAAGCAGCCCAAATTAAATTTCAATGAGATTCATTGAACATCTCTCTGATATTTAATGGGAAAAGCCTTCTCATGCACTTTTGATCAGAGTGCACACTGGAGAACAATTTGATAAAGTCTATTAATTTCAAATGTGCATATATTGAGACCTAGTCATTTCATGTCTAAGAATTTATCTTATACACGCACTAGTGTACTTTCCCCAAATCATATTTAAAAATGTTTATTGCATCATTGTTTGTGTCAGCCAAAAAATCTAGGGAAAAATATTTATTGGTTAGAAACTTAGTAATAAATTAAGGGAGTCTGTACAATGTAACCCCTGACAGCCATTAAAAAGACAACGCAGATCTATGTGTACTGATAAGACACAATCTCAAAAATATATTGCCAGGGGAAGAAAGCAAGAGGGACAGAACAGCGTTTATAATATGCTTCCATTTGTTTTAAATGACGATTGTTCTAGCTGTTGTGTGAATAGTGAATTGATTGTGGTGATGCATGAAGGTCAGAAATCTCCATTTTCCCCTCCAAGAATCACTCTTCAGCTTTCCCCTCCCTGCCCTCAGCTCCATAAGGCAGAGTACACTGAGAGATCCTAAACTTCTCCTTGATTGAGCTTACCCTATCAGCAGATTAGAGTGGGGAGAAGATTTAGGTCAGGTTATGCATTTTCCTGGTTCTTTCTTGTGAGACTGCCTCAGTCAGCCTTCAGTAAGAAAGTCACTTCTCTTGTCTGCTCTGTGCTACACTATATTATAATGATTTGTTTTTATTTTCAGTGTTTTTGGTTGTCACAAGAATGTCACTTGTTTTTCTTGTTTTTTTTTTCAGACAAAATCTCACTCTTGTTCCCCAGGCTGGAGTGCAATGGTGCGATCTCAGCTCACTGCAACCTCCACCTCCTGGGTTCAAGCAGTTCTCCTGCCTCAGCCTCCTGAGTAGCTGGGATTACAGATGCCCAACTAATTTTTATATTTTAAGTAGAGACGGGGTTTCACCATGTTGGCCAGGCTGGTCTTGAACTCCTTGACCTCAGGTGATCTGCCCACCTTGGCCTCCCAAAGTGTTGGGATTACAGGCGTGAGCCACCGTGCCCGGCCAAGAATGTCACACTTTTTAAAAAACTGTGGCTCATTTCAGTTCTCAAACACATCTGAGCTCTCTAATCTCTGCAACCCCATCATATCCTTGGGCCCAGGGTGGTGTGAGCTCTATAGCTGCCAGCCCTGGATTCCTGCATTATCTGTGTAGGTCCCTTTATCCCTTGTAATTCAACCATTTGTAAAAACAAAACTTTATTTTTTATTTTTTATTTTTATTTATTTTTTTTTAGAGACGGAGTTTCGTACTTGTCTCCCAGGCTGCAGTGCAGTGGTGCGATCTCGGCTCACCACAACCTCCGCCTCCAAGGTTCAAGTAATTCTCCTGCCTCAGCCTCCCTAGTAGCTGGGATTACAGGCATGTGCCACCACGCCCGGCTGATTTTGAATTTTTAGTAGAGACAGGGTTTCTCCATGTTTGTCAGGCTGGTCTCAAACTCCTGACCTCAGGTGATCTGCCCGCCTTGGCCTCCCAAAGTGCTGGGATTACAGGTGTGAACCACCGCACCCGAATTTAAGTGGATCAGTTCTGTCCTCTTCAGAATGTGACTGATACCACAGAAATGTAGAATCACCTATATCCATATCTATCTATCTACATAGGCATAAATATTCTTATCTGTGAATAGAATATTTCTGAAAGGAAGACACTGGATGCTGTTACAGTGGTTTCCTTGGAGAGGACCTGAGGTGCAGGGAAAACTTATATTTGACCATATTCCCTTTCGTATTATTAAAAATAAATTAAACCAAAGGTATTCATTATCTTGTCAATTAAAACAAATTACTTACATTAAAAAAAAATTCAGGAAGGTAATTGGACCCTCGACACAATTACACAACCAGAACAGAGGAAACTCTCCCGGTGCTGCCGCTATTTGAAAGGAGCGTCTCTGTGGGCATGAGCTCTGTGTCCTATCTCCTCTGGCTTTGTCAACCCATTCAACTTACACTTTTCCAGAATTATCAACTTTTCTTCTGCATTACTTCTCTCAATATGTGGTCATTAATGTTACCTAAAACAAATGACAAAACTCTCCCTTTCGGCCCCATAACCCTCTCCAGTTCCTAATTTCCCTAATCCCTTTCATAGACAAACTCCTTGAAAGATTCACTGAAGCAAGCTCTTAACACTTCAGTCAACTCCAACCTGAAATCCACTCTCATCTGTCCACAAAAGCTCCTTTTCTCACAGGCATTCACAACCTCCGTTTTCTCAGTCTATGAACGTATTTGAACTCACATTATTGCCCTGAGTTGATCCCTGTTTCTTCCTGGCCCCTCCTTAACTGCCTCAACTCTGAGTTCTGGCATCCTTAGGGCTCAGCCCTTAGCTTTCTCTAAGAAGGCTCTAAACTTGTATCTCTAGTTGAGACTTTGAGAGCCTGAAACTTGGACACTCCACCTGCTTCTTGATATAATCACTTAGAGGTATCAGAGGCATTGCTGGGTGAATATGATCAAACATATCTTTGGATGTTATTCTCTAATTTTGCTACTCCTCTGCTCACCCTCATCACAGTTCATGGCACCATGAAACCAGAAGTCATTCTTCACATTCCTTTCACTTCTGCATCAATCATTAACAAAGCTTTGTAAACAGAAGTTTGGAAACTGGCTCCAATCTGTCCACTTTTCTGTGTCTCTGCCACTCCAGTTCAACCTCCTAACCCCACCCACCCCATTTTGCAGCTTCTTGACTAGACTGCCCCTTCCAAATCTTGCCTTGCTTTAATTCATTCTCAATAAAATGGCAGACTGATCTTTCACATGTCACGCTACTTTAAAAATCGTTGTTGGGCTGAGTGTGGTGGCTCACGCCTGTAATCCCAGAACTTTGGGAGGTGGAGGTCGGTGAATCACTTGAAGTCAGGAGTTTGAGACCAGCCTGGCCAATGTTGTGAAACCCCATCTCTACTAAAAATACAAAAATTAGCCAGGCGTGGTGGGGCATGCCTGTAATCCCAGCTACACAGGAGGCTTACGCAGGAGAATCGCATGAACCTGGGAGGCAAAGGTTGCAGTGAGCCGAGATCATGCCACTGCACTCCAGCCTGGGCAACTGAGTGAGACTCAGTCTCAAAAAAAAAAAAAAAAAAAAAAAAAAGGAAAAAAAGAAAAACTTCAATGGATTCTCCTTTCATTTAGGAAGAAATGAGCTCTTGTATGTTTTTGCATGATCTGCTACCTGCTTCTCCACTGCTGCCTCATGCTCCTCTTCTATAGCATAACCCACGAAGAAGCAAAACAAGGGCAGGTGTCAACTGAACACTGAGCAGAAAAGTGTGAGGCTGCCTTTGCACACATGCTTCTTTTTTTCAAATACACTCTTTTCCTCAATCTTTACAAAAAGATCTGTATTTTTTGGTTCTTCCCTTAAATGCAATTTCCCAAACGTTTCTCCTCTGTCTTCCCAATCTGAGGTAGTCACCACCTTCATCTACATTACCATTTGTTGTTCTCTTTAATTTATCAAACTTTTTAGTTCTATACCTCTCGGGTTCATTGTCAGTCTTATTCACTGACCTGTAATTTCCATGAGAGTAGGGAACATGTCTGTTTCCTCAACACACTTTATCCCTTGCCTAGAATACTGTCTGGCATTGAGTAGGTTCTCAAGAAGTAATGGTTGAAGAAGTTCTGAGTAAGTGAATATCAATTAGTTTGAATAGTTGGAAATGGCTGTCAGAACCACTTTTCTTTTTTTAAAATATTTTGGCATATTTGCTTTACATGAAATATTTCAAGGAAAGTCGTAGACACGACAATACTTAAACATACATCTGCTAAGAACATGATTCTATATAATATTCTCAATACCACTGCCCCACTTAAAATACTTCCCTAATTTAACATCAAGTTCTTATTTCAGATTTTTCCATGTGTCTCTTTTGTAAATAGCTACCCTCATCCCCCAAACAGGATTCATTTAAGATTCTCACTTTCTGGAAATACTAGGCCTGTTGTCTTGTAGAGTTTTCCTTTGTAGTGTCATTAATTTAACTTCTAATATCCCTTTGAACTTCCTGTAAACTGAAAGGTCTAAATTTTTTAAGTTTCAGGTTAAACTTTGTATGCAAGAGTGCAAGGTGATGCTATGGTCTCCATATTGCATCATACAGTTATGGCTTTTTCAGGCTGTTAAGTTTGGACACTTGGTTAGGTCATCTGACAGGTGATTAGGCTTTGTCTCCACTCCTCTACTCCTAGTAAAACTCACCAAAGATTTCCACATTGTTAAATCTAATCAGCAGCCAGCATTTAACCTTGAAGCACTCTTCAGTTGGCTTGCAAATTTCTACACTTGCTTGACATTTCTCCTTTACTGGCTGCTCCTTCTCAGTCTGTCTTTTGCTGCCGGCTCAATCTTCATTTCCCTGAATTTTGATAAAACATCGGTGTGCCCCCGAGCTCGACCTTGGGCTGCTTGCCTCCTCTCTTAGTACTCATCTTGGTGATCTCATCTCATTATAAGGACATCAGATTATATTAACCTCTAAATTACCTGCCCTCCACCCCACCTCATCTGCAGTTAGGTATCTACTAGACACCTCAAAATAAATAAATAAAGCATATTTTTGCCTCTGAAATTTTTCTTCTCAGTCGTCCTCAATCACTTAATGGCCACTCCATTCTTCTGGCTTTTCAGGCAGAAATGATCTTGGACTCCTCACATCCTTCATCTAATCTTACCTAAAATCTTACCATCTCTACTGCTATTACCCCAATCCAAGACACTATCATAGCTACCATCTCTACTGCTGTTACCCTAATCCAAGACACTATCATAGCTACCATCTCTACTGCTATTACCCTAATCCAAGACGCTATCATAGCTACCATCTCTACTGCTATTACCATAATCCAAGACGCTATTGTAGCTACCATCTCTACTGCTATTACTCTCATCCAAGACACTATCATAGCTACCATCTCTACTGCTATTACCCTAATCCAAGACACGATCATAGCTACCATCTCTACTGCTATTACCCTAATCCAAGACACTACCATAGCTACCATCTCTACTGCTATTATTCTCATCCAAGACACTATCATAGCATGCTTGGATTATTTCTGTGGTTTCCCGGCTGGTGTTTATTTTGCCTCATCTGTGTCTCTTCTCACCCAACCTATTCTACTCTCATAGCAACCAGGCTGATCCTTTAAAAGTCTAAGTCTTGTTTAGATGGCTTCCTACCTGAGTAAAAGAAAGCTTACAATGGTCTATGGAGCCCTAAATTACATGCACTCCACCCCACCTCATTCAATTCCTATTGAATTCCTCCTGCTCACTCTGCCTTGTCCACAACGGCCATCTTTGCTATTCTTCCAGTGTAGCTGGCCATGGGATCTTTGTGACTGCTAGTGTCTGCCTAGAATGCTTTTCTCCCACAAAACTTCATGGATAATTTTTTCATCACTTTTGACTTTGTGCACAAATGCCATCCCAATGAGGCCTGCTCTAATCGCTCTGTTTAAAATTGCAGCCTGGGCCGGGCTCAGTGGCTCACGCCTGTAATCCCAGCACTTTGGGAGGCCGAGGAGGGCGGATCACGAGGTCAGGAGATCGAGATCATCCTGGCTAACACGATGAAACCCCGTCTCCACTAAAAACACAAAAAATTAGCCAGGCGTGGTGGCGGGCGCCTGTAGTCCCAGCTACTCGGGAGGCTGAGGCAGGAGAATCGCTTGAACCCGGGAGGCGGAGCTTGCAGTGAGCCGAGATCGCGCCACTGCACTCCAGCCTGGGCGGCAGAGCGAGACTTTGTCTCACAGAAAAAAAAAAAAAAAAAAAAAAAAAATTGCAGCCTGACATCCTGGTGCTCTGCCCTGCCGTTTCTTTGTTTTACTCCCTCTGCTAAAATGCAGTGAAGGCATGCATCTTTGTTCACTGGCATACAGTGCCTGGCACATGCTTGATATTTTTTGAATGAATTTCATCCTACTTCAATTAGGGGTTTTCAGATCAGTATTTCATTAAAGGAAAGATTTAGTAAAGCAGAATACTTCCTTTGTAAGATACTTTTGTAGAGTTTTTCCTGAATTACAGAACGGACACGGAATTGAACTGGCATTTCATAGGCTGGCTTGAGGGTTTTGTGCTCCATTAATGATTACTGCAAAGGAGCTTCATGTTTTAATTTTATAGCTCTTTTGTGTATTCACTGTGAAAATAGGGCAGTTTTTGGCTGTCACGGCAGCTCATGCCTGTAACCCCAGCACTTTGGGAGGCTGAGGTGGGTGGATCACTTGAGCCTGGGAGTTCAAGACCAATCTGTCCAACATGGTGAAACCCCATCTCTACTAAAAATACAAAAATCAGCCTGGCGTGATGGCGCACTTGGGAAGCTGAGGCTTGCGAATGGCTTGAACCCAGGAGGCGGAGGTTGCAGTGAGCTCAGATTGTGTCACTGCATTCCAGCCTGGGTGAAAGAGTGACACTCTGTCTGGGGGGAAAAAAAAAAAAGAAGAAGAAGAAGAAGAAAAAAGAAAATAATAAGGCAGTTTCCATCCTGCTACTTTCTTACATAATCTTTAAGTAGTGAGGAATGTCAAAGTGTTTCAGAACCATTTTTCTAACATATTTGTACACAGAAACAGAGAATGTCTCAGGCTGCTGACTTTCAAGTGAGTTTTAGATTATTTATCCCTTTTCTCTCAAATCTGTCATACAATTTGAGGCTACTATATGATCTCATGTCTAAAATATAATTATGCAGTAAGTCTAATCGTCTGACTAAAGGATTTACATAATCTCATCTATCAGAATGCTATTTCATTTATAGATGAAGAAAAGACAATATTTAACATAAGTCCCGTTACCTGCAAAATTACTGAAGGCTTTATATATAGATACAACACTTAGAAAAGCAAGACCAAACTTGGAGAAACCCAATAGTTAAGCAAAGATATATTTTCACAAGTTAATCAATATACAAGTAATATCAAAAGTATACAAGAATACCAAAGCTATACAAGAATGAAAACACCATAAATTTGTAAGTATTCTATTTTGTTTTCTTTTTTTTGAGACAGGGTCTTTCTCAGACTGGACTGTAGTGGTTCAATCATAGCTCACTGAAGCCTTACACTCCTAGGGTCAAGCAATCCTGCCTCAGCCTCTTATATAGCTGAAACTATAGGCACGTGCCACTACACCCAACTAATTATATTTTTAAATTTTTTTTTTGTAGAGATGGGGTCTCTATGTTGCCCAGGCTGGCCTTGAACTCCTGGCCTCAAGAAATCCTCCCGCCTTGGCCTCCCACAGTTCTGGGATTACAGATGTGAGTTCTGTTGCTCAGGCTGGAGTGCAGTGCTGTGATCATAGCATACTGTAACCTCAAACACCTGGGCTCAAGCAATCCTCCCTCTTCAGCCTCCTGAGAAGCTAGGACTACAGGCATGCATCACCATGCCTGGCTGATTTTTAAAATTTTTTTTAGAGACACATTCTTACTATGTTTCCCAGGCTGGTGTCAAACTTCTGGCCTAAAGCAATTCTCCCACCTTGGCCTCCCAGAGTATTGGGTAACAGGTGTAGCCACAATGCCCAGCCACAGCTGTTCTTTCTTAAAGAAATTACTAGTATGAGTAATTGTTATTGGATAATATAATATCGTGTCAGTCATTTACTTATTTGTATTTAGTGGGTATAAGTGCAGATGTCTCACATCCATATATGGTGAAGTCTGAGCTTTTAATGTATCCGTCGCCCAAATGGTGAGCATTGTACGCAACAGGTGACCTTTCAATACTTCCTCCCCGCAACATTTTGGAGGCTCTAGTATCTATTATTTCACTCTGAGTGTCCATGTGTACCCGTCATTTAGCTCTAACTTATAAGTGAGTTCATGTGGTATTTGATTTTCTGTTTATTTCACTGACATTGTATTTTCTTATGAGAATAATTGATGAAATGATTTAAAGGAAGTGACGTTTTCAATAAAATCACCATGAAAGCAATAAATTATTTTAAGGTTTATTCTTCCGAATGCCTACAAGTAGTTACAGTTACTTAAATATAGAACTGTTTTAAGTTTAACAAAATAGGACAATTTACAAATATAACTATATCATTTGAAGTGGGATGTCTCTTTTAATGGCTTCACCATTTTTTACAGCCCTGAAATCAAACTGAAACATCCCCTTAGATAAGCATCATTGCATTCTGCTCTCCCAAATATTCACTAATGAAGAACAGTTGAAATGTCTTATTTTCAGTGTGATTTTGCTTAAAAAGTATCAAACATGCTGCAATCAGTATTCTGAAAAATAAGGAGACACAAATGGCTTCTAAAAGCCTATATAAGATACATTAACTTAAATAAAAGATATTCTCCCAAGGCAGAAGTGTGTAATTAGTAAATTATTATTATTATTATTTTTGAGATGGAGTTTCACTCTTGTCACCCAGGCTGGAGAGCAATGGCATGATCTTGGCTCACTGCAACCTCTGCCTCCTGGGGTTCAAGTGATTCTCCTGCCTCAGCCTCCCCAGTAGCTGGGATTACAGGCACCCGCCACCATGCCCAGCTAATTTTTGTATTTTTAGTAGAGACGGGGGTATCACCATGTTGGCCAGGCTGGTCTCAAACTCCCGACCTCAGGCGATCAGCCCACCTTGGCCTCCCAAAGTGCTGGGATTACAGGAATGAGCCACTGCATAAATTTTTATTTTCTAGGATGCTCAGATGTTGGGGATCAGAAAACAATATCCCAAATGAAGGCCTCAGTGGCAGTCTCAGAAGCAAAAGATTTTCTCTGTACTTTTCCTGCTCTCCTGTGTCTAGATCCTATTATCCCCCAAGGTTAGTCATAAAAACTAGAATCCCTCTTCCCCAAAGTGGGTCATAGAAACCAGAACCCCTTTTCCCCAAAGCCAGCCATAAAACCTAAAAACATCACTCTAATTTTCCCTCCACCATTCTGTGTAAAAACTGGCCATAAGAAATTATCAATATACAATTGATATATTGTATATTGTTTGACTGTAGGTCATAAAACCTCCATTCCAGAGAGGGTCCTTCCATACCCTGAAAGAAGGAATGCTGTAGAGAGAGGCCAAGAAGAACTTAGGCCTTGTTGGGTTTCCCCACTAAATCTATTAGCATTAGATCAGGCCCTTTTTTCCTTCAATCATGTTTCTAGATGGCTGTCCACACTTGGTTGAACGTAGACATTAAAAATGGACAATTTCCTCTGTATCTTTGGCCTTTATTCTACAGGCTCCCATGTATATGCATTAAATACATTTGTATGCTTTTTCTCCAATATGCTTTTTGCAAGTTGATTTTTCAGTGAGCTTTGAGAGGGCCCTTGGCTCCTATAGTAGATATAAATATGGCAATGTTTACATTGAGCTACACACACATTAGATACAATTAACTTATTTAAAACGTCCATTGAATATTGACTTGTATTCAGAAGATACCATAAGGTTTGCCCCAACTCTTAAAAAGGAAAGGTAAAAATAGTAACCAGGGAAGAACTGCACCAGGGAAGACATTCAATTAGCATATGATTTGCTGAATTAAGTCTCCCATGACTTTGGGGCACTGGATGCCTAGAACTGTCCAAAGACACATAGACACGTGGACCAAGATTTTAAAAACTGGAATTGACCCCATCAAGCCAGCGGATCTAATAACTTTTTAAATGATACGGGAAAAAGAATTAGCGTCTGCTGAAATATTGGTGATACATTTGTTGATTTATGCTTAAATTGAGCAATTTGCCATTTAGACATATAAAAAATGTTTCTATGTCAGTAGCCAAGATATGAAGTCAAATCTCCCTATGAGAACACAATTTATGCGCATAATATAAAAAATGTTTCTATGTCAGTAGCCAAGATATGAAGTCAAATCTCCCTATGAGAACACAATTTATGCGCATAAAATCTTCAGCAAAGACCACTGACATCACTGCAATTTATAAGAGCTGTAGATGATGGGAAATCTCAAATGAAATATACATTTTTTCCTTTTTAAGCAAAATTTTAGATTCAAGTTATGCATGTGAAGATTGTTACATGGGTATATTGTGTAATGCTGAGGTTTGAGCTTCTATTGAACCCATCACCCAAATAATAAATAAAGTTTTCCGTAGGTAGTTTTTCAACCATGTCCTCTTGTCTCTCTGCCCCTCCTCCCACTCTTGGAGTCCCCAGTGTCTACTCTTTCTATCTTTGTGTCCACGTATACCCACTGTTTAGATTCCAATTATAAATGAGAACGTGATATTTTTCTGTTTCTGCATGAATTCACTTAGGATAATACCTTCCAGCTGCATCCATGTTGCTGCAAAGGACATGATTTTACTCTTTTTATGGCTGCATAGTTTTTCATGGTGTATATGTATCACATCAAATGAAATACATATCAGGAGAGAATCATTATAATTGAGCCTCTTGGCCATGAAGATTGTTTACACAGTCTTAGACATCTAATGTTATATTCACTCCTATGAATATGGTTGAAGATCTTTTTATTTTTGTTTCAGACCTTAAGGTAACAGCCTGTTAAAATCACACTGCTATGAAATTGTCATGATGCATGTGTGTATGCTTTTCTGTTGCTTTAAATTTTTAAATTGTAAAATCCACATCTGTTCACTTCTCCTGGGTTCAAAGAAAATTCAAACCACTGAAATGGAGTGGTAAAATTTAGAGCTAGAAAAATTACAGAACTCCTTATTTAATGCCTTTATTTTACAGATGAAGAAACTAAAAATTGTGGCAATTCCATGATATTAAGAGTGCTCAAGGTCACATAGCACATTTGTGACACAGTCAGGACTTGGGCACAAACACGCACTTTTTTTTTTTTTTTTTTTTTTTTTAGATGGAGTCTCACTCTGTCACCCAGGCTGGAGTGCAGTGGCGCGATCTTGGCCCACTGTAACCTCCACCTCCCGGGTTCAAGCAATTCTCCTGCCTCAGCCTCCCGTGTAGCTGGGAATACAGGCATGCGTCACCAGGCCCAGCTAATTTTTTGTATTTTTAGTAGAGACAGGGTTTCACCATGTTAGCCTGGATGGTCTTGATCTCCTGACCTAGTGATCCACCAGCCTCAGCCTCTCAAAGTGCTGGAATTACAAGTGTGAGCCACCACACCCTGCCCTAGTACTTTTTAATGCCACAGAATTGTCATAAGTTACAGTGGAGAATCATAGCTGCCAATCAGAGATCCTTGGAAAGCACACAATATATACTTAAATAATTCTTATTCACCAATAAACAAACAAGCACACACATATGTATTGTCTTTAAACAATTGGGATGTCTTTTGGCCAGACACATTCTCTCTAATGTCTGGCTCTAGCTCTTTTTTTTTTTTTTTTTTTTTTAGTAGTGGGGCCAAATAGGTATACTGTGTTTATGCAGATTTTTAGTATTTGTAGACTGAAGAAACTGAAATGAAGTTTCTGACATTACTTTTGTAGCTGATCCAAAATAAATATTGTGGTAAACTATTTAAACAATTACTACTGTTTTGTTATGGTCCTTGCTATTTTACCTAATTTCCTGGAAAACCTGCTATTCCGTTTGGAAGGCAATGTTTGTTGTAAATTGAGCTAGCTAGAAATCTCTCTGTGAGAGGCCATTTGTGACAGATACGGTTTGCAAAAAGGCTGTTGATTTTGCCAAAAAGTGAAGAAAAGAGATCTATGTTACTGGAGTTGGAGGATTTGAACATGTTTGAAAGAAGGCAGGGAGTTAAGTTTTCTGATCCTTCAGAAGGCCAAGAGATATTGGATTAATAGGTACATGACACAGGGTTTTGTTTTATCTCTATTTTACTCTCTCTCCAATTAGATTCTAAATTTCTGGGGGAGGGTTATTGCTATAAGACCTGGGTCTGCACGTGAGATATAGTAGAAGCTCAATAAATGTGTTTTAATGACTGAGTTGAAGAAAACAGTTTAAGGAACTTCTCCTCATCTATTTTAGATGTTCAAGCCCAAAAAGAATCAAAAAAGTTCAAGGTTGTAACATTTTTTTAAAGCATCTGTTTTTAATAGTTCCTTCAGAGATGCACTTAATTATGGCCAAATATATTAAACAGCTTTCCAAAGGTCTCACAGCTTGCTATTGCCATACAATTCTAAGATTAATATCCTTAATCCTTGCCTTCTAGCCTTCTTCACACTTGTTTCTTTTTCTGTTAAAAAATGATAGAGGACCCAGGGCACAAATCTCATCTCATAAATGTCAACAAGTAGTGGGAGATAGAACTGGTGACTTACACGCTTACTCTTTCATCATAATCTCATGCTTTGTTTTAGTAAAGATGGAACATAACCCATTTAATAATGTGTTAATTCAAATAAAACAGTTTTACCATTTTGTTATTTACAGCACATTCAAAACAAGTGTGTTCATAACTGTTACTTCTCGATACACTTGTTAGAATATAGTATCCCACGTGAACCCGGGAGGCGGAGCTTGCAGTGAGCCAAGATTGCGCCACTGCACTCCAGCCTGGGTGACAGAGCAAGACTCCATCTCAAAAAAACCAACAAACAAACAAACAAAAAATCCCATTGATTACACAATATTGTCACTATTTATGTGAATACTCAACTAAGCAAGACTTTATAGAAATAAATCATTTCAAATGTATTCTCGTTTAAAGGTCTTAACTCGTTTATGGAAGTTCTGGTTACTATGGTATATGACAACTGCCTTTTTCATCTGTTTATGTCCCAACGTCAATTGCTAAACACTGTTTTATTTGTTTTTATATGGAATTAAATGTACTGATATCTTTAGGGCTCCATTTGAGAACATACATTCAAATCAAAACATGAAATTGACTGTATAAGTAAATTGGCTAACGTTAATAGGGGCTGGAAAATGAAATGCTTTCTAGAGAAGGTATCTTTAAGGTCTATTGAAGAAACCACTAGTGAGAAGTAAGCAGTACTTTACATTCTTGTTTATAAATGAAAAGGGTATTTATTGGCTGCCTATTATGTTTCATGCACTGTATGAAGCACTGGGGACTCTAAGCAAATTTGGCAAATTCCGTGCAATGCAGGAAGTGTTTTCGTAGACGCATGGGCAGGATACTGTGGGGCATACAGGGTTGCTATATATATGATGCTATCTATGGTGGTGATGGGGAGGCTTGTCCTTCTGGAATCTCTTTAGATGTGGTGCTTGAGCTGAGTTTGCAGGGTGGATGAGGGTTAAGAATATGAAAAGGAACTCTGGGTCACGAGAGCAGTGTGGGCAAAATTAGGTATAAAGGCTTTTAGCAGCATGGTAAATTGTGTATGCAGGGAATCGACTATTGCTGAAACTTTGAAAGTAAAACTGGGAGAGGAAAGAGATGTTTTAATTATTTTTATATATGACAAATGATAACATTAAATATTGGAAAGATATTGTATTGTTCACATTCTTATAAGTTAACTCTACATTCACTTAAATGCTGCTATTTTCGAATGAGGCACTCAATCCCTAATTTTAGTTTTAAGTTAAGAAATCAAGACTGCACCAATGATTCTACTGTAGTTCCTGTTCTATGATAGATATGCATATTATAAAATTGTTACTATAAACTCATTATTCAATTATTCTTCAGTTCACTAGAAACAAACAAACAAAAAACATGGTAAGTCAAAACGTAGCTTTTTTTCAAGCCCAGGATAATTAAATTTCAGAATGCCCCCAAAGCTGGACTACTTTCAAGAAAAGAATTCATCTCACATGAAAATAATTTTAAAGAAAGTAATAACAATGAAAATCGGTTTTGTTAACAAGCACTTGACTTTATAAATGGTCATGAAATGATGTGCCATGTTTAATTACAAACAGTTCACTTCTACAGATTTATTATCTTACATAAAAATCGTCTGATTGCCCTTCAGAAAAATGGATAGGCAATAATTTGATCCTGGTTAGAGGATCTTGATCCTACTTTTATTCTCTTCAAATTATTACAGCATTAGCATTTTTTGAAACCATTTTTTTTCTCAGCATTTCATACAACCAATGAACTGTTTGTTTTTAGGGGTTTGTGTCTCAGTAGCAAAGATGCATTTCCAAACCTAATTACTGAAATCTAAACTTGAGTTTATTGGCAAATATTTTGTTATGTATTTATTTATTTATGTTAGTGTCTATTGTTTTTGTCATTACTGTGAAGCAGGCCTCACTTATAAATGTTTTCTTTTCAAGTGTCGTGACAGATTTCCATATTGCATATTATATATTAAAAAGCAATTGAGAGTCTTTAACATTTTCCTTCTCTGTGCATCTAGGAAATCATTCTGGTTTGTCATGATTGAGGTTAACTCAAAATATACCATCACGACACAACTTCTTCTCCACCAAAAAAAGTTCTACTCTCCCAAATAAGTCAATGTATTCGGCCAAACAATTGACTAAGTAGAAAGATCAAAATTACTGCTTGACTTCCCTAACTAGATGCAGAATACTATGGTCAACATTCAATTCCACAGCCCCATGCACATCCAATGTCACTGACAGCTGCATCAGATGGTATCTAATGGTTAATGCCAAGGAAAGTCTTCCACACATGTGAATACTCAGCTATTAGTATAGGCACCAATTTCCTTTAAATGAAACTCACATAGGGAAATAAACTGCAAAAAACAAAGCAAAACTGAAGAATCTTTTTGAGAATAATGCAAACATAAACTCTCCTCTGATGTGGCAAATCTGACCTAGGTGCATTCAAAGCCCAATTTAAAAATGATTAACTTCAAAATTAAAGTTGGCTGAGGGGGAAGTCTAAACCAGATGGTAAAACAAAACCAATTACGGCCAAATATATTAAACAGCTTTCCAAAGCTGTTTAAGCAAAGCAGGATTTCTTTATAAAGTCAATTTATGCAGCCACAGATTTGATGGGAGGTAGGGGGGCGAGGTAGCACTTCTGCTTAGACTCAGGGAAGAGATGCCTTTTACACACCTAATACAGTTGTGTTAGTAGATACCAGAACATGTTTGAATAGGAAAAATGGCAGGGATGATTTACCCACAAGCACCGTACTGTTTAAGAGGCATAGTTCTTAAAAGGCATAATGGACTCCAGCAATACGAGTCTGCGTATACATTTTCTTTTGGCAGATGAAATGGGGTCCTGGCCGCTCTCTGTGGAGCAGCACCGCAGACCTATTTTTCCTCTTCTTTCTTTTTTTTTAAGTTCTGGGATACACGTGCAGAAAGTGCAGGTTTGTTACATAGGTATACACATGCCATGGTGGTTTGCTACACCCATCAACCTGTCATCTACATTAGGTATTTCTCCTAATGCTATTCCGCCCCTAGCCCACCATCCCCTGACAGGCCCTGGTGTGTGATGTTCCCCTCCCTGTGTCCATGTGTTCTCATCGTTCAACTCCCACTTATGAATGAGAACATGCGGTGTTTGGTTTCCTGTTTCAGACCTACCTATTTCATCACAGATCAGTGTCCTGGGAACAAGTGATTTTCCAGGACAGAATGCTAGTTTCCGACTGTTTCTGTAACAAATTTCCACAAACTTAGTGGCTTACCACAACACAATTTTATTGTCTTAAAATTCTGGAGGCCAGAAGTTTCAAATGTGGAAGTTCTTGTTGGAGAGAAACTGTTTCCTTGCCTTTCCAACCTCGAAAGGCAGTCTGCATTCCTTGGCTCATGGCCCATTTCCTCTATATTCAAGCCAGCAACGTAGCATCTTCTTTCCTCTCTATCCTGTTTTGGTCCTGGTAGTCTTTTCATCTCCTCTTCATTTCTAACCTTACTGCCTCCCTCTGAAAAGTGATCATATTGAGCTCACCCACATTTCCAAGATAATCTCTAAACCTCAAGATCCTTAATTTAGTCACATCTGCAAAGTCTCTGCTGTCATGTCAGGTGACATATTCATAGGTTTGGGGATTAGTACATTCTGGAAACCACCATTCTGTCATAGGTAAAGGGCTACTTTTCTAGCAGTATCCAGAGTGAAATCATAGAACTGGAGGTACAAGGCAGCTTTCTCAGCTTTCAAGCAGAATGTGGAGAGAGGATAAAAGAAATGCAGAAATGGAATGACCTACCCGATGGCTGGGCTGTCCCACTAACCAAATGCAAATATTAAAACCAAAATTAAAATTAACTAAAATTAAATACAATTAAAATGTAGTTCCTTAGTTAGTTGCATTAGCCATATTTTAAGTGTTCAACAATCATGTGTGGCTAGAGGCTACCATATTGGACAGTGCAGATACAGAATATCTCCATCACTGCTGAAAATTCTGTTGGGTAGCACTATTTAGAGTAATATTCTGGAGATAATAAACCATAATATAGTGGCACAGTGGTAAAAAAAAAATCAATTTCCTTGGCTGAATGCCAATGGAATTTCTTTCTCTCTTGATTTCATGCATGTGAAATACATATGAGAAATGAAGTCAAAGTGTTTATATTCAGTTCACAAAATATTTATGCCAGCTCCATACTTTTAAAATTCTGTTTGAATTCATTTTGGAGAAAAATTTATGTTCGTAAAATGACCTTCATTTCAAGAAAAAGTTAAGCTATATTGATACTAGGAAATCTGTTTTCTGGGATAAATGAGATTCCGATTTCTCAATCTACATATTTTACAAAATATTATAAGCTCATTCTCTTGACACTGGGCACAGCAGGAGGGAGACTATCAGGCAGTGCTTTGCAAAGGTTGCCATGCCAAGGGGATCTTCCTGCATGTCCGCTTCTCATCCCTCAGCTCATAACTAGAGGAGCCCTTCAGGTCAAGTCTGATATCAAAGCCCTGGTGTATCTGTAGTAGAACTTTCTTAAGTGATAGTTCTTCATTTTCATTTTCACTGATGAAAGGACAACAAGTTCATAAGTTAGAGAGAAGCAACATGAAAGTTATATCATGTTATCAACACAGTATCTCAATAAGTAGACTTTTGCTTGTGAGTCTATGCATCAAGAGCTTGCAATTTGATTAATTTTGCATGAATTTGGGATGAAATTGGACATAAGGACAAGTGCCAAGAGAGATCCACGTTTCTATTTATAACACCAAAAAATGGAATAAAATTTACTGTTCAACACTAAACAGGTAGATAAATAAATCACAGCACATTTGATATATTATGCAGATTTTCAAAACATTAGAATTCTTGATGCACATAGTAACCTGAAATGCTTATGTTTGTTTTTTCTGATAGTACCAATAGAGACAATATATCAATTATTATTGATTATCACCATTATTTAATGTTTAATAAAGTGATGACCTCTTTCCTAGAGTGAAAAATCCATAATAAACCATGGAGTGCTTTGAAGCTTAACAAATGTGAGTCTGAATGAAAAGGAGAAATACCCTAATACAAAGAGAAAGAGCTGGAAACAGGCAGGAGGAGATGTGGCCACCCAAAACTAATCACTGCCTCCCTTTTGAAAAAACTGGTCAACTTCAAGAATTCAAGAAAGATCAGATTTTTTTTTTGTTGATTCATTGAAAATAAACTATGTAGCATAGATATTGCTTAGTATTTTTTAAAGGGAAAATGCTCTAATTGTTTTTTCTTTCTTGAAATTGTCTTGATTACAAAATAAAATATAATTGTAAGAACTTTGTAGAATACTGTTTCTAGGGCTTGCTCATTCATTAATTTGTTCATTCATTTATTTAACCAATATCTCGTGGATGCCTATCATATGGCAGATAACAGTTTCAGGCTCTCAGAATGCAACAGCGAAGGGAATATAAGAAAAACAGGAAAAAAAACCTCTCATATCTTGAACTTTGTAGTCTCACGACAGGAGATAAATTATGAACTAAATATACAGTAAGCGCTACAGTGGGAAATACAGCAAGGTTCAGGGGATACAGAACAGTGGGAGATGGGCTTTTCTGGTGATGTGGCATTTGACCAAGTGATCAGCGATGTAGGATATGGCGGAAGAAGAATTTCCGGCTGAGCGTTACAACTGCAAAGAACCCAAAATGGAAGCACATTGAGTCGAAGGAAAATGACATTCTTGATGTCTGGTGAGCTTTAATTTTCACCTTCCAACTTGTAAGTGATGGGAAAAAAGCCCAGAGAACTCCTTTACAACTTCCAACATTACTTTTTCATCTGTTCTTTTTCTTTGTTCTCGCCCTTTTCATCTTGCCTTTCTCAGCATGACACAGTGAAATGAAAGGCATTTATATTTGGCTTTTTGGAATAGACATATGAGAACAAAGGAAAATATCAGAAAAAAAGGAAAAGTACTGGTCCAGTTAGTTTTGAATTCATATCGAAGGCCTGACTACTTTGTAACTTTTAAATGATTTTCATCAAGAGATGTGAACTAGTAGAAACTCTTAGTGGAATAGTTATTGACCACAATTTCTATAGCACTCCTTTTACTGGTGTTTCTACACTTATCACCAAATGATTATACAGACCTCCTGGTTAACATTCTGTCCCTGCCTTAATTGATTTACTTCTTTCTACAAATGTTTGATTCCAGCCATTAATATGGTTGATCCTTTTAAATGTCTCCTATTATCCCGTCCATTCCATTAACACTGCTGCTTCACCTTTTCAGGTTCTCATCGCATCCTGATTGTATTTTTTTTCCTGTGATTAATTTTTCTAAAGTATCTAGTTGTATTTTTTTCTGTGATTAATTTTTCTAAAGTACTGCTTCACAGCAACAAATTTCCCTCTTCCCCATGCAAGGTTCTCTACTGAGATGTTTCCTCTTTCCTTTCTTCTGAGTCACAAAATCTCATTGTTCTAGGCACACATCACACTTGCCCCACCTCTCCAATGAAAGAAAAAAAATTGAAAAACTATTATTTGGAATTAAGGTTAAAAGGTTTTCTGCTCACCTTCATAATATCTTCAAAACTGTTTGTAATTACATGTAGGCTAGTGATTTCTGTATGTTAAAGTTATGCTTGCCATCTTCTTAAATTCTCTCTTTCTATATACTAGTTGTTTCATTGATACTTTTCAGTTTTCAAGTAACTAATAATATCATCTGTAAGCAGAGGTAGTTCTAGCTCTGTCTCCCCAAGTTGTAGGCCTCTAATTGCTTTCTTTGTCATAGATCTCCAATATAATATTAAATCACAGTAAAAACAGTGGGTAGCACCATCTTGTTCTAGTGGAAAGGTCTCTAGTGTTTGTCCTTTAAGGAAGATGCTGGCTAAATACTGCTTTTGATGGAGATATAAATGGCTTTTGATGAAGATATAAACAAAACTATATATACAAATATAGTCATATACATACATACAAGTACACTCTCATGTTTACAAAGGAGTCATCAATTCATCAATTCTTATGTTACAGAATGTTTTTGTTTTTGTTAAATTACTAGTATTGAATTTTGTCTGATGCCTTTTCAACATCTCTGGAGATTATGATATTGCTTTACTCATTGGCTCTATTATTATGATGTGAATTATACTATTAGACTTCCTAGTGTTGAACGGCCTTGGCTTGCTAGAAGAATCTTCACTTGATGGTGTGATATCATTTATAATGTGGTATTCAATTTTATTTAGTGTTATTTTATTGAAGACTTTCGATTGGCACTCTGGTGAGAGTGGTCTGAGTTGTTGTTATTGTTGTTGTTTTGTTTTTGTTTTTGCTTTCTTTTGGTAAATTCTTTGCCAGATTTTTCATTGATGAAATTACTTCACAAAAAGAATGGGGAAAGTTTCCCTCTATTTCTATTCTCTGGAATAGTTTACATCAAGATTTTACTTTTTACTCATAATGTTATTCTAGCTTCCAAAGAGTTATTTGTTAATTTAATTTAAACTGAGATGATGAAGACAGAAATGTAGATGTACATCTTAGAGAATGGAAATTGTATGAGGTTTTGAAACTGAGTGATCTGAAAACAGTAAATTCTGGCATTGTTATTTATTACCTATGTTAACTCGAGCAACTTACTGAAGTTTTTAAAGTCTTTGTTTACCCCTTATTAAATTGGAGTTATAATAACAAATATATTTTTAGTAATAATTGTACCTTTGTTCTGCTAGTGAAAACATAGATGTGGAAATTACTGTTGTATATCACTAATTCCTGATTTCAGAGTTATTCAATCTATAAAAAGCTGAAGAGAGATTAAGGAACGAAAATGAAAATAAATGAAATAGAAGCTTTGGTGAATCAAGTCTACTTCTTCAATATTAAATTCCTTCTACTTTCAGATATGGTGTACTTAGTATTAATGAAATGGGTGATCAGAAAGTCAAAGTTGAAGACGGGGAAGCATTTCTATCACTAGAGAAAATTATTTCCCAAGGTCCTCAGAAGCATACAAAATGCAAGTTTCCATGGGGCATACCGCCAGCTCTTACACACCAAAAGTAAGATTAAAGACCATGATCCTGTCAAATGGGGGAGTCAGTTTCTCAAATGGAATTTTAAAATACAGATCCTCTACAATGAGCACTGGCAGACCTAGTGTTATTAAAGGTCGTCGGGATCTCTTTTCTTAAAGTTGCAGTGCTGGCAGCTTTATCATGAGCCCTGACCTTTCAGGAATATCTGCTGCAGGACTTTTATTAAAATCCTGTTCACTTTACTCATGTCAGAAAAAAAAAAAGAGAAAGGCTAAGGCGTCTTGAAGGTTAATGGGCTCTGGGAGACGCCTTCTTTTAGACATTTTCATGTTCAGTTTATAAACCATTCAATGCATTGCCTGATGAAACAGCACCAGTTCTGCTTAGATTTTAAGCCCTTAAGTTAAATTTTATTGTATCCTTGAAGTTATAGGGCAAATACTCGGAAATCATAGCTCTGTTGGAAAACTGTCTTAGCAATATTAATAGATTTGTGATTTTGGTCAAATATAAAATGATATACTGAATATATATCCCAAACTGTAATTATAAGACAAAATAAAGAAAATCACAAAATACTGTATAATACAGTAGAAAAGAGCAAAGTCTTGTATGAATAATGACAATTTATAAAACAAGAGGAATGCATAACCTTGGCTGAACACATAGTTTACTTAAACTCGACGTCCTATTGCAAAATAAACAAAATATAAGATTGGAAAACCAACAAAAAGCCACCAAAGAAAATTAATTCCATGTTTGAACTAGAAATGTATGGCATGGGAAAATATTTTAACAAGTGTAAACTAAAGTAAGATTAAACAGAGAGTCAGTGCTTACTTAGCATATATGGGCAGGAAACATTTATTGAATTAATATATGAAAGAACACACCAAAAATTCACAAATCTTTAGTTGATGTAAAACTCTATGTCTAAAACAAATGCAAATGCTTTCAGTTGTAGAATTTTTATTTTATTTTTGCCCCAGTTTTATAAGCCAGTTCCTATAAATAACAAATAAGAGAACATGGCGCATCTTAGGTTTCTGTTTCATAAATTAACACAAATTTTCCCTTTCTCATATAGATACGTGGGAAGAATACAATTCTCAAAAATTCACAATGAAACAGCCACAATTTGGCCTTATTTCCACTTATCATTTAAAAATACATTAAAGAACTTTTGGTGGCATTTTCTTTTTTTTAGCTTTTAAGTTTGGAGTACAAGTGCAGGTTTGTTACTTGGATAAACTTGTGTCATGGGAGTTTGTTGTACTTTAATTCTTAGAACTTATTATTTCAATTCTAGATCTCATCAGTGAAAACAAAAGAATTATTTTCAGGCTCACTTACACGAGTGTTACTGTACAAGTCACTTAAATAATCTGAATTGAGGTTTATTCTCTTTTGAAATGTAGAATATAACGCCTAATTCACATGGTTAGTTGTGAGAACTGAATGTGATAATTTATAGAATTATTGAATAATTCCTGTGAACCAAGCCCTGTGCAAGAATCTAGGAATACAAAGTGCTGAGACCATTTCCTGACTCAAGGAGATCACACCGTAATGGGGAGACCACCTATCACTACAGCAACAGGTACACAATAATGAGAAAAGTATCTAATGGTAACTTCACTTGACTCTCTGAGACAGCAGAAGTCATAGGGAAGCAGGAAGGCCGGTGTCTCTGATTCTTCCTGAAGCACCTGGACTAGGGGAGGCACTACTGTTTGAATGTTTAACAATGAGGAGAAGTTTACCAGGAGGAAAAGGGTTGGTATAAATAGGCAGCTATGAGACCTGCAGAACATGGCATGCTTAAGACAACAAATCTTTCATCTGGCTGAGGAGCAGGCTTTGCCAGCAGGAGAAAGGGAAAAAGAGGGCAAGGAGTATGCCTGCCTTCCATTTCTCTCCCTTTTCTACTTTCTCACATCTTCCTTCTTTCCCTTTCTCTCTTTTTCCCTTTCTCTTTTTTCTTCCTTTCTCCCTTTCTGTTTCTACTTCTTCCCTTCCTCCTTTCCTTCCCCCTCCCTCCCTTTCTTCTCCCTCCCTCCCATTCTATTTTTTCTAGTTTCTCATTCCTTTATATTCTTTGTCTGTCTTCTTTATTTTCTCCCTTCACTCTGTCCCCTTCCTTTCCACATTACTCTACGTTTGTCTTTCTTTACCTTCTATCTCCATTCTGTAACATTTCTTGCATACTTACATATCAGGCAGTAAGCTAGGGAGACCTGATCCCCACCATAATCTAGCAATATCAATGTAATGTAATGACTGATATATATATTAGGTTACACCAAAAGGTGAATTCTTTGCATAAATTATGTTTAGTAACACATCCAATTAGCAGGTACAACTGCCTTTTGTAAAATTTAGCATGAACTTCTTTTCATATGTAAATATTAAAATATTTTCTCCTTATTACTTTTTATTAGTACTACACCAGGCTGATTTATAGGAAACATTTTGATCTGCTTGTTTTGAAATTGTGCTTTTAATTAGATTTAAAGAAATGCCCTAGGTGGTTTTAGAAATCATTTACTAACAATGTACATTATATGAAGGTCATTTCTCATCTATAAAACAAGCATCAAAGTTCTAATTTTAATCACAGTAGAACCATAAACTGTGAACCTGATTATACTCTGTCAAGGCCAGCTACTTTTTGATATAAAATAATGATTTCTCTAAGATGCAATCTGAAAATACTAAGGAGTGGCATGTATAGGACTTGGACAGAGGAAGTTTGAATGTCTATCTGTCTGATATGTGTATTCATATAAAGATAGTTCTATGTAATCCTTTTTAGGGTTTGTCTCTAATATTTGTAGTCGAAAGCCTATCTCAAAACACTCATGTCATTTCATTATTTTTCTACCCATGAATTATACACTATCTTAGTCCATTTCTGCTGCTATAACAGAATACCTGATTCGGGGTAATTTGTAATAGATGGAACTGTATAGGCTCTCAGCTCTGGAATCTGAGAAGTGCAAGATCAAGGGGCCAGCATCTGGCAAGGGCCTTCTTGTTGCCTCTTCCCCTTGCAGATGGTGGAAGAGCAAGAGACGGCAAGAGGTCACCAAACTTGCCCTGTGTCATAGCACATATCCTACCCAGCGGGGTGGAGCTCTAATGACCCAGTCACTTTTTAAAGGTTCCACCTTTTAATATTCTTACAATGGCAATTAAATTTCAATGTGAGTTTTTTTTTTTTTTTTGGAAGAAACAAACATTCAAATCATAGCAACCTCTTTGTAGGAATACAAAGGATTCTTATCCTAGACTGTTAGGGACTGGGAGTTGGGTGGGGATAGGCAAGAAGGTGTGGGAGTTATGATGGGCAGAGCTGTGGCGTCAGAAACCACAGGTTTCAATCCTGGGTCCAGTATGTTTCTAGCTACGTGATCTTGAGAAAGTTTTCTCTGGGCCCTAGTTGTATTATTACTCCCACTGTTTCTCCCATCCAGCTTCAGTTTGGTAAGTCAAGGCAGGGAGGGAGTTTGAATTAAAGAAATAGTGACAAAGTGAGCAGTAAGATAACTACACCAGTTGCTATGTTGTCTGAAATTTGTGAAGCTTAAGTGCAAATTTGGTTCCTTAAGCATATATTCTATGCCAACGAGATATTATTAGTGGTATCCAAAAAATAGAAAATGTGGTTCTTTTACTCAAGAAATTCATAGACTTGTTAAGAAATTGACAAACATATCCCCGAAGGGCTGTATCCTTTCAGTGTCAAGGAGACTCTATGGCTCCAGACTAGTGGGCTCTTGTTTCTATGCAGATTTTTTAGTTGTGTTCTGCAATCATGTAAGGAGACATTAATCCAGAGTAGTTTTTTGCCTCAACAAAGGACCCGTATATTGACTGTCTTATATTGACTCTTCCCTCAGCACGTTGGTAGATAGTGGAAGAAATGAGATATTCCAGCTGAGGGAAGCATATTAGCCAAGGCAAAGAGGCAGGAGCTCTGCATGGCCTGGTCAAAGAACAGTAAGGGTCTGGCCTGGATTTAATGTGGAGTTGTTTCATCCATGAGTGGGATTACAGATCTACTGATGCCAAGTGATGTCCTAGGTACTGAGAATATAAGGAATTAATGTCCAGTTTAATGGAGGTGACAGACAAATACATAGAAAATTATAACATGACAAATGGGAGAACAAATGCAACAAAGTATTAGAGGAGCATCTTTATACAAGAATAGTAAAAATTTTGGTAGGATAAGAAACTTTGGCTTATTAATTTACTGGCATCTTAAAGTCAAAATAAAGGTTTTGAATTTGGTCTGAAACATTGAGAAGACTTGTAGATTTTTACATAGTCAAATGTTAAGATGAATGGAGTCATTTATAAAGGCTGATCTGATGAATATGGCTAGGTGGGAAGGTATCTTCTTTTGCTATTGCTGTATAACAAATTGCCACAAACTCATCAGCTTAAAACCACACAAATTTATTATGTCACAGTTTCTATAGGTCAGGAGTCCATGTGAGCTTGGCTGAGTTCTCAGCTTAGGGTCTCATAAGGCTGAAATCAAGGTTGGTTAGGGTGGGTTCTCATTTGAAGGCACTGGGGAAAAACTCTCTTGCAAGGTAATTCAGGTTGCTGGAAAAATTCAGTTCTTTATTGCTGTAGCATGAGGATAATGTTTCCTGGCTGAATGTGAGCCAGACAGGGCCACTTTCTCTCCTAGAGGCTCCTCATATTGCATCTCACATGGATATCTCCAACTTCAAGTCAGGAATGGCATTTGAGTGCTTCTCATATTTCTAATCTCTATGACTTTCTCTTCTTCCACCAGTGGGAAAAAAACGTTCTTTGCTTTTATAGAGTGATGTGATTACATTCGGCTGATTTGGATAATCTGAAAGTCAGTTGTGCCATATACTATAACATGATCATGGGAGTGATATCTTGTCATAAATACAGGTTTTGGGGATCAGGACAGGACACCCTTGGTTGGGGGATTTACAAATTTTTGCCTACCACAGAAGAATGGGGATTGAAGTGAGAAGGATGTCCCGAAGTGGTAACCACAGAAAATAAAGCAGGCATATGGGAAATCAATTGGACATAGAGTTAATGTGATTGGCTGACAAATTGAATATTGAGGAATCAAAGCTACAAGGGAGAAAAAAGCAGAGAATGTTTGTATTTTCACATCTGAATTTCTAAAACAACTTTAGAATCAAAAACAAGAAACATGTCAAGTCACTTGTGTAGGGAAGAAGAGTTTCCACTGATATCCCTAGCTCCATTCTAAGAATTAGATTCTTTTTTTTCCACCTTAAATCAAACTGACTGGATGTTTATATCTTAGCCTTTTCAACCTTAAACAAATATTTTCCTTATATAAAGCTTTATTGTCTATGTCCTTAATCTGAGACTTCCTCTGAGAAATGGCATTACTGAATTTGATTTCTCCAGTCCTTGAAGTGTAAGCTGTCTTCCACTTTTAACTTTTAGCTGGATAATATCTTATCGTCTACTTCTGAGAGAGGATCAGCTCCGTCTTGCCAGGATAACCATTATAGTCAACTCACTGAGCCCAAGGCAAAGACACGTTGGTTGTAGGTTGCCCACGGGGATAACCTTGGCAGATTTGCATAGTGAGGCCCCACACTAGATGAGAACGTTGCTTGTAGCCATTCTGAGGAATCAAGGAATGCATGAAATGACTCCTCAGTCATGCTTTTGCATTTTATGTTCACATTTCTCTTTGAAGGAATTGGGCTAGTTACAGATAGACTGCAAATGTCTATCACATTTTGCACTTTGCTAAGATTTCTTTTTGTAGGTAATTTAAATAGCCAGAGAACATTTGATGTGGTTACCCTTTCAATAGGTATATGAGTGTTTTACACAGTAAATGATTTATCTTGCCTGTCCATTAGGATTCTCTGCTTTGTGAAAACCAAAGGAAAAGTGCCTTTGGTTAAAGATATTTCTGGTTCATTAGCTTCTTAGAGCATTATAAAATATTAGTGTTTTCATGATTTAGAACTATTTGCAAAAAGATGCTTAGGGTTCTTTTTTATTCAAAGAGTTTATTTATTGAGGCCTTATGTATATAAAAATTATACAAGTAGCAATAGGGGAAATTAACATAACAATAGATTACAATAAAATAAGTCACCCAAGGTTGCCAACTATGTAGACAGAGAGCTAAACCCTAAAGCAATTTTAAAAAAGCAATTTAACTTTATTTTTATAACATAAATTTTCATAAGTATAAATTTTCAGATAGTATACTACCTTGAGTTATTTCATGATGCCTCTCCCCGTCCCTATTATGTTGTGTATATGTATATGACCTAAAATATGAAAATATTTCCTCTATTATTAGAACACTTTTTATTTAGCATCATAGATACTATTTAAAAGGAGATCAGGAACCAATATTTTTGTCAATTGCTTGCCATATACTTGTTCAGTATTTCTAGTAAAATTTACTGATACTAAACAATGGGGGTGCATATATATATATATATATATACACACACACACATATTTGGTTTGTTTTTACTTAGCACTGATTAATGTTTATGTAGCACCCAACTCTAAAGCAAGAAGAATGTCTCAGAATTCTCTAGAATCTTATGCAGATAGATAATCTGGGGAAAAAATACTGCTAACATTTTAAAAATCTCTCTAGTTATAAATTTAAAAATTTAATTTGGAAATCTTAATTGACTCTAATCTAGCACTCTCCAGATAATTCCTCTTCAACATTGTGTTTTTAAGATTAAAAACTACAAACATTAAAAGAATATTTTTACATTTTCAGAAACAGAGGGAAGATGAGGAAAATATAAATACTATATATCACTTTTCATTTGCAAGGTCACCACCATTAATTTAATTGTTAATCAGTTGTGTCATTGAATTCTAGTGTGATTTAATGGCAAAGGGCATCGATTGAAATCCATTGTATTATAAATTGTTACCTTCTTATATTTTAGGAGCTATGCATGATCATGAACCAATTGAGAGGGCCTCCAACACAATAATTTGCCTATAAAAATTGTTTATGTTAAAAGTGCTTTATCATATTTGAGTAGTGGGAAACAATTTTTGTAATGAAACTTGAATTAGGACTTTCTTGATACTAGCCATATTTATAATTTAATTTCCATAATGCCTCATTAACACAAGTGTGTACATATACTATATATACTATATATATTTATTTACATATATTCATTGTAGAATATTAAGAAAAGAAAAATTGTAAAGAAGGCAGCAAAAATTACCCCAAATAGGCTGGGTGCAGTGGCTCATGCCTGTAATCCCAGCACTTTGGGAGCCCAAGGCAGGCAGATCACGTGAGGTCCAGAGTTTGAGGCCAGCCTGGCCAACATGTTGAAACCTCGTCTCTACTAAAATTACAGAAAAAATTAGCTGGGCTTGGTGGCGCGCGCCTGTAGTCCTAGCTACTTGGGGAGGCTGAGACAGGAGAATTGCTTGAACCCAGGAGGCGGAGGTTGCAGTGAGCCACGATTGTGCCACCGCACTCCAGCCTGGGTGACAGAGGGAGACTCCATCTCAAAACAAACCAGCAAGTAAACATAACCCCAAATACTATAACCTTAAATATTGAAGTCACTGTAAATATTTTGGTGTGTTTTTCTATCTTCTTTTCTAAGTATGTTCCTAAACAAATACATATCTATATACAAACATACATATGTATATGTAAGTAGATCTATATATTCACATGTAGAGCATGTACACAAGAGCATGCAGGTGGAAGCTATTTACGCATGCATTCTCTAAAACTTTCTGAAATCTGTCCACTTGTGTGCATCTACTAGCTCCATCATGGTTGAAATAAGCGCCCCTTATCTAGTTCACAGCTGAATCTGTCTCTTCTGAATCTCTTCTTCATATAGAAGTCATAGTAATTAAAAAAAATAAAAATCTGATTGTACTACTTTCCTTCTTTAATGCCTTTTCTTGGCATTCTAATGCACTTGGAATAAAATGGAAAATATTACCATAGTCTGCAAGGCTTTGTGAAATGCAGCCTCTGCCATCTCTTCATCCATAAACCATCCTAGTCCTCTCTTTAACTCTTCTTTAGTCACACTGACCTTGATTTTCTTATCAGACACCCTAAAATTCTTTTAACCTAACATGCTACTTCTTTATGTGGAAAGCATAAGATGTATCTTCTATTATAATTAATGTCCAGAGAAAATATAACATTTTAAACTTTGCCCATAGCTGATTTTGTACTCACCATAAGTCCCTACCAGCTGATGTGAAGAGAAATAATTTAACTGAATACTCACTGTATGTTAAAGCTTAGTCTAATTCAATAATGTAAACAGTCTCTTGAGGTGGTGTTCTTGGGAAAAGTTGTGTCTCTTCTAATTGTAAGGAAGATACAACAGTTAGGTCCTCTCGCAGTCGTGGTTGTAAACAGTGGAAAACTTGGATATGGGTCTCAGGTCTTCAACTTCTTGAACCTCAGTCTACTACTAACTCCATTATTGATGATGTGGACAAATCAAATGTCATTACTTATGGCCCCAGATAACCCAAAAATATTGTTTCAAACCAGCAACCACTTTCAGTGATACACTTAAGGACTCTCCCAGCTAAAAGCAAGAAGAAATTGATCCTATTTCATTTCGATTCATTTCATTTGCAGGAAACCTTAACATAAGCAATGGCATAAGTGGAATTAAAAAGGATGTTAGGAAGGAAGAGTGCCACCTTGGAATCTAGGAAACAAAACATGATAGCTCAAAAGTTAGTGAGGGGTGGGGGGAGGAGAGAGGAGGCCGACAGTGAGAGCAACAGCAAGAGAGAGACATACAGAGACTCACAGGTTAAAAAAAAAAAAAAAAAAGAAAGAAACAAAGAGCAAGTGTGTCTTGCCCTGATCCTTGTGCAACTGACATCTTGTGGACTGTTCTGTGATGGTATGCAGGTGTAGGGTGGTAGGCGATTTATCAGAGTCTTCAGATCCCAAATAAAACATCTCCTACAACCACTCAGAACCTTTGATCACTCTTTAAATTTTCTCCATAGTAGAATCATCTTAAAATTAATGAGGAGGCTGAGCCAGGATGATCACTTGAGCCCACGAAGTCAAGGCTACCCTGAGCCATGTTCATGCCACTGCACTCTAGCCTGAGTGACAGAGCAAGACCCCGTCTCCAAAAAGAAAGAAGAAAGAGAAAGAAAGAAGAAAAAGAGAGAAAGAAGGAAAGAAACATAGATAGACTAATGCAGCTTCTCAGTTATTTTGGTATCATGAACAGAGTATTCTGAAAGGAGAATAAAATAATTCTGGACCCACTTAAATGTATTTTTCATAAGCTAATAAATCAGCATATGCCTGTTGAGAATGTTAATAAAACTAAGAATGACAACTAACATTTGTTAAGTACTTTGTGTCAAGCAGTGTTCTAACACCTTTATCCTCAAAACAGTGCTAAGTACATTTATTTTTGTCCACAACAACCAACAAGGAAACTGAGGCAGGGTATTCTAATATGTCTAACCCACATAAAATACCATGTGAAAATAAAATTTCTAGATCCACAATTTTGGGATCAAATCTGTAATGTGGCGCCCTAACCAAGTGAATCCTACCTGTAAAGGCTCTTTATGAACCACTAGAATGTTCTAGCATTATTGTCTCACTGTTTCATAGGAAATATTTTTTAAATTAATGCTAAAATTCCAAAGTAAAAGATGAAAGGAAGCACCACCATCTGTTATAATAACTTTAAATCATCCATAAAGCAGGAGGGCACCTGTCCCTGCTGAGAGGACAGATCAGGTTAACATTCGGCTAGTCATCTGATATGGTTTGACTTTGTGTCCTTGCCCAAATCTCATGTTGAATTTTAATCCCATAGTTGGGGGAGGGATGTGGTGGGAGGTGATTGGATCATGGGGGCGGATTCTTCTCTTGCTGTTCCCCTGATAGAGTTCTCAAGAGATCTGGTTGTTTGAAAGCATGTAGCACATCCCCCTTCACTCTTTCTCTCTCCTTCCACCATGTGAAGACGTGCTTGTTTCCCTTTTACCCTTCCACCATGATTATAAGTTTCCTGAGGCCTCCCAGCTATGCTTCCTGTACAGCCTGTGGAACTGTGAGTCAATTAAACCTCTTCATAAATTACCCAGTCTCAAGTAGTTCTTTATAGCAGTGTGATAACGGACTAATACATCATCCTTTACTTTCACTCACTTTCCATACCTGTGCTTTCCTCCTGCACTTGCTATCTCCCTGGTTCCTCTTTGGCTCTTGCCCAATAATTCCTCTCATCTCATTGGCATGGAGTTTTTTGGAACATATTTATTGTCAATAATCTATGCAGAGCAACCCCTTCAGAGAACCTGTAATTCCAACAACCTAAAAAAATAAAATTTAGTGGTTTTAATTTCACTCTTAGTGACTAAGGGGAATGATGCTAGTAAAAAAAAAAAAAAAAAGAAAATTTAATTAGACTAAAAGAAATACGTTATGAAATTTCTAAAGCAAACAAAATTTTTCTTATATAAAATACTAAAGAATATAATGTAAGCTTTAGAATTCTCTAGCCATTTTATGAAATATTTTCACTGATTTCCATTTTTGAGGATAGGTGTTTACAGAAAATTATTTTAAACCTATGCCAAAAGGCTGGCAACTTGTTTTATCTCATCTTGGGCTTCATTTTGTTGATCTCTTGTGTTCTCAAATTGCCACGGGCTTTGGCCAGTTGTTACACAGTTTTTCTTTGTTGGAAAAGCGATAAGGTTAATGACTGCTATGTTTTCCTAACCATGTTCCTAATCTAGCAATTTTGCCCCTTAAAGGGTAAAATAGATTCACTATCAACATATAAATAATAATTTCCCAGGGACCTTCAAACAGATGATTAATGCCCTTGCCTTTGGGTGTCTGTTCTTTTAAGTGACTGATAGGAACAAAACCAAGACCATACAAAAACCTTTTTACTGGGAATAGAAAATGTGAATGGTGCATAGGAGACTGAGATCCAAAGAAGAATGAAAGCAAACCAAACTCAGGAATCAGTAGCAAACAAATGTAGCTGGCAAATTTCTACGTCTTGGAGGAGATAATCTTCCTGAAATAGAATCACAGCCAGTTGCTTTGCTAACAAATAACTGCAGTGTTTATTTGAACACTGTATTTGGATTATGCTCTTTTTAATGTTTTAGGATTGGTAAATGTGAAATTGCATATTAAAGGAAACATAAAGTCACAAACATATCTCTACACACACTTACCCATGTCTGGAAGGCCTATACAGAAATTTAATGCTTAAAATGTTGCCATATGCTGGAATGCTAGAATCTAAAAAGAGCTAAAAAAATGTTACAAATTAGAGGGCAGAGCAAGAAGCCTCTACCGATCATCCCCCTACTAGGACACCGATTTAACAACTATCTACAGAGAGAAGCACTTTCCTAAGGACCAAAAACCAAATGAACACTCGCAGTGCTGGATTTTAACTTCCTATTATTGAAAGAGTCACTCAGAAGGAGAAAAAAAAATAGTCCTTACTTGCCTATTCAGGACTATTGCCACTAATTGCCATGACGACACCCCTCCACCACCTGCAGGCAGTGGCAGCATGGGTGAGGAGAGCATTTCCATGTGCTGAGGAGAGAGACAGCGTGCAGCAATTTCAGTCATTGGACTCAGTGGTGTCCTGTTATAGCAGAAAGGAAAACCAGATCAAACTCCGCTGACACCCACCCATGGAGGGACCATTTAAACCAGCATTAGCCAGAGGGGAATCACTGATCCCAGTGGTCAGTGCTTGAGTTCCCACAAGCCTCACTACTGCTGGCTAAAGTGCCCTGAGGCCCGGCCCTAAATAATCTTGAAAGGCAGTATAGGCCATGAAGACCGCAACTCCTAAGTCCTAGTGCTGAACTGGGCCCAAACCCAGCTGACTGGGGGTGAGGGTGGGGCACACAACCTCCTGAGATGCTATCCAGGGTGGCTAAAGGAGTGCTTGCACCACCTCTCCCCTAATTCCAGGCTGTACAACTAACTGCTCCAAAAGAGACCCCTTTTCTCTGCTTGAGGACAGGAGACAGAAGACTGGAGAAGATTTCGTTTTGCCTCTTGGATAGCAGCTCTTCTATAGCAGGATAGGGCAGCAGTCAGAGTCATGAGGCCCCCTTTCCAGGCCCTACCTGCAAGATAACATTTCTAGACATACCCTGGGCCAGAGAGCAACCTTCTCATTCGAAGGAAATGACCCAGTCCTGACAGGATTTATTCACCCTGGTAACTGAAGTGTCCTTGGGCTCAAATAACCAGCAGCAATACCTGGTACTACACTGAGGGCCTTGGGTGAGATTCACACTTGCTGGCTTCAGGTGAGACTCAGCACTTTTCCAGCTATGATGGCTATGGGGTGAGACTTCTGCTTAAGAAAGGCAGAGGGAAAAGCAAAGGGGATTTCATCTTGCATCTTAGGTACCAGCTCAGCCACAGGAGAGTAGGGCACAAAATGGGCTCTTGGAGTCCCTAATTCCAGCACTTGGCTCCTGGATGAAATTTCTAAACATTTCCAGGGTCAGAGGGGAGCCCACTTCCCTGAAGGATGAGTCCCAAACCAGGCAGCATTCACCACAAGCTGACTTAAGAGTCCTTGGACCTCAATGGAACATTTTTGGTAGGCTGGAAGTATTCACTGAGGACCTGTAGTGGCAGTGGCCATGAGCTGAGGCTCCTTTGCCTTTGGAAAGGGGAGAGAAGAGTGGGAAGGACTGTATCTTGTGGTTTGAGTGCCAGCTCAGCTGCAGGACAAAAGAGGACAAAGTAGACATTTAAGTTTGTTGACTCTAGTCCCTGGCTCACAGACAGCACATCTGAACCCACCCAGGGCCTAGGGGAACTTGCAACCCTGAAGTGAAGGACACAGTCCTAGATGGTTTTGCCCCCTGCTGAGTCCCAGGGCCTTGAGGAAACATAGGCAGTAGCCAGAGAGTGATTACAACAGATGCTGCGTAGGACCCAGTGCTGTGCTGGCTTCAGGTCCACCTAGTGGTGGTTGCCATAGGGGTGCTTACGTCATTCCACTCCCAGCTCCACGTGGCTCAGAACAGAGAGAGACGGAGGGAGGGAGGGAGGGAGGGAGGGAGGGAGAGAGAGAGAGAGAGAGAGAGAGAGAGAGAGAGAGAAAGAGACTACATTTGGTTGGAAGAAAGTAAGGGAAGAGAACAAGAGTGTCCATCTGATAATCCAGAGAATTCGCCCAGGTCTTCTTTAAGACGATCAAGATGAATCTGTATGAGTCTGCAAGAACCATAGTGTTACTGGGGTGCTCCCTAAATAAGGAACAGCTTAGATCACAGCACCCAAGTAATTTCAAATACCTGGAAAGCCTTCCCAAGAAGGACGGGTACAAACAAGCCAATACTGCAAAAACTACAATAAATACCTAATTCCTCAATGCCCAGACACAAATGAACATCTACAGGTATCAAGACAATCCAGAAAAAGATGACCTCACCAAATGAACTAAACAAGGAATCAGGAACCAACCCTGGAGAAACAGAGATATGTGACCTTTCAGACAGATAATTCACAAATAGCCGTTTTGAGGAAACTCAAAGAAATTCAAGATAACACAGAGAAGGAATTCAGAATTCTATCAGATAAATTTAACAACAAGATTGAGATAATTAAAAAGTTAAGCAGAAATTCTGGAGCTGAAAAATGCAACTGACATACTGAAGAATGCATCAGAGTCCTTTAATAGCTGAATTGATCAAGCAGAAGAAAGAATGAGCTTAAAAACAGGCTGTTTGAAAATACACGGAGGAGACAAAAGAAAACAAAAAGAATAAAGCATGCATATAGAATCTAGAAAGTAGCCTCAAAAGGGCAAATCTAAGACTTATTGGCCTTAAATACAAGGTAGAGAAATAGACAGGGGTAGAGGGTTTATTCAAAGACACAATAAAAGAAAAATTTCCAAGCCTAAAGAAAGATATTAATATCCAAGTACAAGAAGATTATCGAACAACAAGCAGATTTAACCTAAAGAAGACTACTTCAAGGCTTTTAATAATCAAACTCCAAAAGCTCAAGGATAAAGAAAGGATCCTAAAAGCAGCAAGAGAAAAGAAACAAATAACATGCAACGGAGCTCCAATACCTTTGAGAGCAGACATTTTATTGGAAAACTTACAGGCCAGAAGAGAGTCGTATGACATATTTGAAGTGCTAAAGGAAAAAACCTTCACTCTAGAATGGTATATCTGGTGAAAATATCCTTCGAACGTGAAGAAGAAATAAAGATTTTTCCCAGACAAACAAAAGCTGAGGGATTTCATCAATACCAGATCTGTCCTGCAAGAAATGCTAAAGGGAGTTCTTCAATCAGAAAGAAAAGAATGTTAATGAGCAATAAGAAATCACCAAGAGGTACAAAACTCACTAGTAAGTACACAGAAAAATAGAATATAACATGGTAACCATGATGTATAAACTACTTTTATCTTAACTAGAAAGACTAAATGATAAACCAATCAAAAATAATAACTACAACTACTTTTGAAGACATATGGTACAGTGTGATATAAATAGAAACAACAAATAGTTAAAAACCAGGGGACGAAATTAGGGTGTAGAGCTTTTATTAGTTTTCCTTTTGCTTGCTTGTTTATGCAAATGATGTTAAGTTGTTATCAGCTTAAAATAATGGGCTATAAGATAGTATTTGCAAGTCTCATTATAACCAGAAGTAAAAAAACACACAACAGATACACAGAAAATAAAAAACAAGAAACTAAATTATATAATCAGAGAAAATCACCCTCACTAAAAGGAAGACAGGAAGGAAACAAGGAAGAGAAGACCACAAAACAACAACAAAAAAGAAAGAACAAAATGGCAGGAGTAAGTCTTTACTTACCAATAATAACATTGAATATAAATGTACTAAACTCTCCAATGAAAAGAAGTGGCTGAATGGATGAAAAAAGAGGACCCAATGATCTGTTGCCACATTTCACCTATAAAGACACATGTAGACTGAAAATGAAGGGATGGAAAAAGATATTCCACGCCACTGGAAACCAAAACAAAAGTAGGAGTTACGATTCTTATACCAGACAACATAGATTTCAAGATTAAAACTATAAGAAACAAAGGTCATTCTATAATGATAAAGGGGTCAATTCAGCAAGAGGATATAACAATTTTAAATATATATGCACCCAACATTGGAGCACCCAGATATATAAAGCAAATATTATTAGAGCTAAAGAGAGAGGTAGTCCCCAGTACAATAACAGCTGGAGATTTCAACACCCCACGTTCAGAATTGGACAGATCTTTCAGAGAGAAAATCAACAAAGGAACATCAGACTTAATATATACTATAGACCAAATGGATCTAATAAATATTTACAGAACATTTCATCCAACGGCTACAGAATGTACATTCTTTTTTTCAGACCATGAATAATTCTCAAGGATTGACCATATGTTAGGTCACAAAACAAGGCTCACAACATTAAAAAAATTGAAATAATATCCAGCATCTTTTCTAACCACAATGGAATAAAACTAGAAATTAATGACAAGAGCAATTTTGGAAACTATACAAATGCATGGTTAAACAATATGCTCCTGAATAACCAGTGGGTCAATAAAAAAATTAAGAAAATTGGAATTTTTCTGAAGCAAATGATGATGGAAACACAACATACCAAAACCTATGGTATATGACAAAAGCAGTACTAAGAGGAAAGTTCATAGCTATAAGTGCCTACATCAAAAAATAAGAAAAACTTCAAATAAACAACCTAACAATGCATCTTAAAGAACTGGAAAAGCAGGAACAAACCAAACACAAGATTAGTAGTAGAAAATCAATGGTAAAAATCAAAGCAGAAATAAATAAGATTGAAATGAAGAAAACAATACAAAAGACCAATGAAATAAAAAGTTGGTTTTTTGAAAAGTTAAACAAAATTGGCAAACTTTTAGCCAGACTACAGAAAAAGAGAGAAGATGCAAATAAATAAAATCAGGATGAAAAAGGAGACATTATAACTAATACCACAGAAATTCAAAGGATTATCAGTGGCTACTATGAGCAACTATATGTCAATAAATTGGAAAAATCTAGGGAAAAAAATGGACAAATTCCCAGACACATACAACCTACTGAGATTGAACCACAAATAAATTCAAAACCTGAACAGACTAGTAACAAGTAATGAAACTGAAGCATAATAAAAAGTCTCCCAGTAAAAAAAGCCCGGGACTTGATGGCTTCACTGCTGAATTCTACCAAATATGTAATGAAGAACTAGTAGCAGTCCTACTCAAACTATTCTAAAAAATAGAGGAAGAGAGAAATAGTTCCAAAATCACTGTATCATGCCAGTATTACCCTGATTCCAAAACCAGACAAAGACACATGAAAAAAATAAAACTACAGGCCAATATCACTCATAAAAATTGATGCAAAAATCCTGAATAATAGCAAACCAAAAAAAAAATAATTCACCATGACTAAGGGGGATTTATCCCTGAGATGCAGGGATGATTCAACATATGCAAATCAATGTGATACATCATATCAACAGAATGAAGGCCAAAACCGTATAATCATTTCAACTGATGCTGAAAAATTATCTGATACAATTCAGCATTCCTTTTATGATAAAAACTCTCAAAAACTGGGGATAGAAGGAACATATCTCAGCATAATGAAAGCCATATATGACAAACCCACAGCTAGCATCATATTGAATGGGGAAAAACTGAAAGCCTTTCCTCTGAGATCTGTAACATGACGAAGTTGCTCATTTTCACCACTATTATTTAATGTAGTAATGGAAGTCCTAGATAAAACAATCAGACAAAAGAAAGAGATAAACGGCATTCAAATTGGAATGGAAGAAGTCAAATTATCCTTGTTTTCAGATAGTATGATCTTATATTTGGAAAAACCTAAAGACTGCACACAAAAAAACTATTAGAACTGATAAATTATGTAAAGTTGCAGGAAACAAAATCAACATTAAAAATTAGTACCATTTCTATATGCCAACAATGATCAATCTTAAGGAAATGAAAGATCTCTATAATGAAAAGTATAAAACACGAAAGAAATTGAATAGGACACCATAAAATGGAAAGTATTCAATTTTTATGGATTGGAAGAATCAATATTGTTAAAATGTCCATACTACCCAAAGCAATCTACAGATTCAATGCAATTCTTATCAAAACATCAATGGCATTCTTTACAGAAATAGAAAAATATCTTAACATTTGTATGGAACCACAAAAATACCCAGAATAGCCAGAGCTATCCTGAGCAAGATAACAAAATTGGAGGAATCACCTGACTTTAAATTATACTACAGAGCTATAGTAACCAAAATGGCCTGGTACTGGCATTCAAGTGGACAAACAGATCAATGGAATAGAATTCAGAAACCAAAAACAAATTTATACACCTACTATGAAATGTTGGACAAAGATGCCAAGAACCTACACTGGAAAAAAGACATTCTGGAATATTAGAATCTAAAAAGAGCTGAAAGGAATGTTACAAATAAAGAAAATTCCCTAAAATAAAATAAAGCAAAAGTCATTTGGCCCATATGGTTAAAGGACAGGGTTTAGCTAGATGGACTTTCAGAAAAAGCTCTATGCAGCCCAGTGTCATAAATTGGGCCTCACAGTATACTTGCAAGTAACATCAAACTACATACTTTCCAATTTCACACTGTCTCCTCTTTATTTCATTCCACCTCATTATCATAAATGTAGGAATTAGATATTCACAGTATATCAGCAATCCCTCTGGTGTTGGCTTCTTTCCAAGTGTGTCCAGGCCACATACTAGTTCCGTGATTAAAACTATGTGAAAACCAAGTGTTCACCGAGACCAAGATGGCCTTAGCAGTTCCCTCAGCTGGACTAAACTTTATACAGGCTTCCTCCTGACTCTAGGTCCCTAACTTCCCTTTCTTAAAGCATTTACTTTAGAAAACAAGTAATTGAAACTCTTTCTTTGCCCGATTGAGATGTAAACCTTTTTTTAAAGCTTCTTGTCAGTTTTAAAACCCTGGAATGTTTTCCTTAAGCACCCAGGAGCCATCACTTTGAAATAAAAGCATTAAAGGGATACAGTCTACACCTGAGTGTGGGTGGGAGCCTAACTTCAAAGAGCCTTGCTCTAAGTTGTAAAACTACCTCCTGTCATGAAGATAGGAGAAAATTTACTTCATCTGTGGGTAAAGCCAATTAGCAAGCACAAATGGCCTACACAGATTCTCCCATCCCAGCTCTTAAAAACTCTTCATCCCTTTGTTTCAGTGGAGTTGAGCTCAGGCTGAGTTACAGCCTCTCTCTTCTGTTACAATAGTTTTGAATAAAGCCTCTCTTGCCTATGTAACTTTGCCCAGTGTAATGTTTGCTTTGACCAGGTGTATTCTGAGTTTATCTTGTAATTTTCACACTCATCTGCTTTTTGTTTTCTTATTGTTTTTTAGTCTGTTTATTCCCTTTTGAAATAAGTGGATTTTCTCAGGCCATATTATAGTTAGCCATGATTTTCATAACTCTGATATAACATCAAATTAAAAATTTTTAACTGAAATTTAAAATTTCTGGAATAAATTTATTTAATTATATTTCTTGAACCAAACAAGAATGACAAAAATAACAACAAAAACTTCTTGTTGATGTTTTTCAAGAGAGAAGGTTCCCTGGCTAGTTAATAAGGGTATCTAACCTAATTGGTATATGTGATGTTGCTTTAGGAAGAATAAACTATTCAGCGGCTTAATTAAATAATGAAATAAGACCTCTTTATTCTTCTAGTAGCTTATAATCTTATTTCAGTTGCCCAGGTGGGGCTCCTCTGTAGGATGAAGCTGGAGAGGGCCCCATGACTACTCTGGCACCATTGTTGTTTACGTTTAAATGATAAATTGGGATATTTGAATGGTCACATGAAACTTTTAAATCCTTATAAGGTTTAACTATCCAAAAAATAAAAGAAATGAAAAACAAAACCACTGTAATAAGAAATAAGGAGTAAAAAGAGAGATAAGTTTTATTACATACTTATAATTTGCCAGGCACTTTCTCCAATGCATTATGTGTGTTATTTTGAAAATCCTAATAGCAATACTAGCAATAGGTGCTATTATTCCTATTCTACAGATGAAGACACCATGGCCCTAAGAATATAAATACCTGCCTCAAAATGACACAATTAATAAATGGCAGAGCTTGGATTTGATAACCTAGGAAGGAGCTCGGCACCACACCCAACGTGTTTAACTGTTTCACAACAGTAGCGTCTAGGCTTGCAGCCTATAAACATTAGAAATTAGAACATTGGATGGAATAAGGCAAATTATACAAAACTACCTAAAATGGCCAGGTCTCCAATAACAGCCTTGCTAAGTCACAAACATTCTTGTGTATGAAGAAATGTTTTTGTCTGCTTCTTGCTGCAATCCATGGATATATAGTCTCAGATCCTAATGCCTAAGGCAGTGATTCTCCAAGTGTGGTCAGTATCACCTGGTTATATGTAAGACGGGGAAAATTCTCCTACTCTAGCAATCAAGCCCTCCTGGTGAGTCTAGGCTTGCTCAAGTTCCAGAATCACCGGTCTAAGGTGAATCTTGGCAGAGATCCTTACCTCTGCTGCTGTGATGGCTCTCGTGCAGTTATTATCTTAATAATACCCTGCAATGATTTGTAGATTTCCAACCTGCAGTGGGCTCTACTCATTTATTGTGACAAAACTTATAGGGACTCTGCCTTTTCTGAGCACAATTTGGTCTTCAAGACCAAGAAAGTTACATTTCAAAATCTTGGCATTTCCTGTGTTACCCAGAGCAGGGTTTGTACAAAATGCTTCCTTCAGATCTCTGTGTTGTATGAATCAATATAACGATCGCCATTTTTCACTGTCCTGTTGCCTCAAATTCAGAAAATAAAGCTACTGAGGAAATCTGTATGAATTTGGTGCACCCCCACCTCAACCCTCACACACAAATACCTGAACCACAGGAAAGACAAAAGATGATGTGTGGCATGAGAGTTGAAACAGAGGCCAAGTCTTTTAGGTTACTGCCACAGTCTAAAGAGGAGGAAGAGGAGTCTGGGCAGCATAGTCTGCACAGCTTAGTCTGCGCAGCATAGCAGACCATGGCGAACTTACTTAAAGTGCTGTGACTTCCAAGAGGAGCAGGTGCTCCATGTACAACTAAAGCTACAGAACACTAAAGAAACCACTTAACTTACTTTTAGTCCACTCTTTTAGATAAGCAAAACCAGCTTTCATACCTGGTTGTCAGCATCTCATCAACATAGGCAAATCAATTATATGCAGAACAAGACTATCCTTAATTGTATTTGTTTAAAGTCCATATACAATTAATACATGTAGACGGAAGATATTATGAGCCTTTAAATATTATTCTTGATTTCTTTTTCCTTCGGAAAAGTGCTAGACAATTCTATCTCTCTATATACAAATTAGAAGGGAGTGTTCAAACAGTAAAATGAAATAGATACATAATTAATTCAATATCTTGGTAGACAATATTTCAATTTTGATTTTGAAATAATCCTGGAGAGGCCTTTAGAAATACACTACAAACGTGAGGAAAATAGGGTTTTTGAGTGGTCACACACTAGGTCCTATTTTCATATATCTACTTTAAACTGAAGAATAGAAATCAACATAATTATTAACTGGAATGGTACAATATTTTCTCAAGATATTAATCTCAGCAATTGTGGTACAGAATACTACAACTATTAGCAAATAGAGTGCATAACCTTGAACAGGAAACCCAGTTGAATAGGCATCAAGAACATATTTCTTCACTTTCTATGCTCAGTTCTAACCTTGCAGGCTCTGTGACATTCAGTAAGCCTCAACAAAGCTCCTTCATTTTTTTTCCTATTAAGCTTGGATTATTTTAGAGGACTGATAAGGTATTTATACAAAGTAGAAAAAGCTTCTGAATACTTTAAAATGCATGTATTATTTAAAAGGACAACAAAGCACTGCTATTTTAATATATACTAATTTCATTGTTCTAAGACATCTGAACATGTCAAAATTTTGTCATTGTTCCTACCAAGGTCATACAACAAGACATATCAAAGAAAATAAGTTCCTTTTCGATTTTGATATTTTGACTTTCTTTTAGACATTCACAGAGTTCCAGGTAGTAACATAGCTCTGTCTACCCACAGGCAGTTTGAAAACACCCACAGGCACTCATTTTTTTGTAGTTCGTAGGACACGGAGGAGAAACCTTGTTCACAACAAATTTTGATTGATCTGAAAATATGAAAATCCTAAAATAGGTGGAAAATTTCATAGGTAACATTACATTCCAATATAAAATTCACAACTTGTCCTCCTCAGTCATCAACACTTTTGCCTGAAAGGTCTCTTTTTTATTGATTTACAAAGCAAATATGAGTCTTCACTCTTATCACCAAGAAGTTGTCCCAGAGTGCCCTGCAGATAACAGTCCTTTCTTCTCAAGATCCAAAAGTAAAGCAAACACGCTGTGACCAAATGAACTACTATAGATTGTCTACAACTTTATCCCAACTCCAATCAGTTTCAGGCAGAATTTTCAATTGAAAATCCATGTCATATTGTGAGGTAGAGAAAAATAATAATGCATTTATCGCCTAAACAAATTTGTCTTAAAATGAATGCAAATTATTCGCCCACGGAACTTAACAACTCTGAAAAAATAGTATTTTAGAGGATGATGGTTGAAGATTTAAAAATTATGATATAAAAGAGGCGTCACGACACAGGGGAAAGATTCAGCACTCTGCGGATGGCCACTATAACAAGGACATTTTTTAGTGCAATGCTGATTTCAAATGTCCTGTGCTGCTGGTGAGCCAGGTAGCAGTCCTTGTGCCTGATTATCTACCTTTCTGTTTTGAAATGAATCATACATGTCACTGCCAGGCACCAGTGTTTTAGAGCTTATGTGTTACATCCTTGTTAAAGGCTATTGGGTGTGATAAATATTCAAATAACCATGCGAATGCATATTTAATCATAAACTTAGGTAAGTGCCAGTGAAGGAAAGCAGCACAGCTCTAAGAGTGCATGAAAACCTAAAGGGCTTTGGGGTTTAGGAAAGGCCTCTGTAGGGAGGTGATGTCTGGGCTGTGTTTGCAGGATGAAGGGGGGTTAAGTGAAATGGGCAGGATGTTCCAGAAAGAACACTGGGTGACACTGGATGACAGGAGGAGCATATGATTTCAAAAAACACTGTGACTGTGGTTGGGAGATTAGGAGGATGAGAGGAGAGAAATTGTGTGGAAATATGCTGGAACTATCAGCAAGGTCCAAATGGGGTTTCTTGGTGCTCACTGGACAAATCTTTGCTGGGCAAATTTTGTGAAGCATATTTTAGATAACCAATGAGACTCACAACATGTAGCTAATGTGGGAAGTAGTGATATTGATAAATAATACTTAATGTCATACACTTTGGGCATACAACTGAACTAATAATTTCCTTGGTAGAAAACTTCAGCATGATTTCTATTTTTTAAAAAACACAGCTTTGTCTCTTATCTTCCTTCTAAAGCTGCGATTCTCAGTAAGGGCTGATTTGGCCTCCTTATCCCTCCCAAGAGCTATTTGGCAATGTCTGGACACAATTTGCTTGTCACAACTGGAGGGGGTGCTATGCCATCTAGTGGGTATAGGCCAGGAATGCTCACCAAACATCTCACAATGCACAGAGACCCCCACAGCAGGAAATTATGTAGCTCAAAATGTCAATAGGGCTGAGGTTAAGAAACTCGGTTCTAAAGTGTTTTAACAATTTAAAGAGTTTTCCATGGTCTCTTGACCTAATGCACAAGATAGATATTTGTGAATTTTCCTACACAGAAAACAAGGGGCGCAGGTCAGATTTCAGGATATAAGAAATGGGAAATGCATTTGAGATGCATGTTAAACAAACCCAGATATACTGAAAGGCAAGTCTTCACTGGGAATTAAATTTGGGAGTTTTTAGAGTACTCAGAAATCAAATCCATGGAAGAAGTTAAAGAACAAAGAGAAAGTGCTTAGTGCAGAGCCTTCAGGAACTTCTAATTGCCAACTAGGTAAAGGAGAATAAGCCTAGAAAAGGAAATTAGCAGGGGCAGGCAGAACTCAAAAAGATAGAGAAAAACAAGAGTGGGATGTCATGGAAACCAACATAAGAAATTGTTTCAAGAAAGATAAACTGATTTACAGTGCCAAACATATCCCAGAGAAAAAAACAAGGAGAGGACTGAAAAGTCTATTTTATTAAGAGACATGGCGGTCATTAGTGACCTTTGTGGAGGGCTGTCTTGGTTGAGTGATGGAGGTGAAAGCCAGATTGGAGCGGTCCAGGATTAAGTGGCAGTGTGGAGCTAGAGACAACTCTTGTACAAGTCTTTATTGTAAAGAGAAGCAGAGGTTGTAGGGGCACATGTGTGAAATCAAGATTAATATGGGACAGACTCAAGTATGTTTAAAGGCTGATGGCAGTGATTTGGTTTGAAGCTAGCAGTGCAATATACAGGGAAAAGTTTATAGTTTAAAGTTTCTCAGAAGCTATTAAAGGGACAGGTTCCAAAAGAGATAGAGAGACACCATCTCTATTGTCACAGGAGGGAAAGAATAAGAAAATTTATTGATTGTTTTACATGGAATTCATTAAAGGTTTGTGACCAGATATGTAAGAAGAAATATTTATCAAATAAAAGAAAAATGAGAAGTGGTTGACATTAATCACTTTTCAATTGCTCAAACCAACCTAATCATGAATTCAACAAGCCAGTCATACCATATGACCTGCGCTTCTCCTAACCTTCTGTTGCCCATGCTGTTCCCTTCATCCCATGTATCTTTTTTTTTTTTTTTGAGATGGAGTCTCACTCTGTCGCCCAGCCTGGAGTGCAGGAGGGGCGTGATCTCGGCTTACTGCAAGCTCCGCCTCTCAGGTTCACGCCATTCTCCTGCCTCAGCCTCCCGAGTAGCTGAGACTAGGCCCGGCTAATTTTTTGTATTTTCAGTAGAGACGGTGTCTCACTGTGTTAGCCAGGATGGTCTCGATCTCCTGACCTCGTGATCCACCCACTTTGGCCTCCCAAAGTGCTGCGGTTACAGGTGTGAGCCACTGTGCCCGGCTCCTTCAACCCATGTATCTTACCTACTCTGAGTTCTCTGGGAATGTTTCTCTGCACCCTATAATGCTCCCTCCTCCTCTGTGTCCTAGTTGGACTCATCATAATGTACTGTAATTATTTCTTTACTGTTTAATTGCTGCACTAGACTATGATCTCCTTCAGGGCATGCTCACATCACATGTAGAGCACTGGTGGGTGGTGCCTGGCAAAGACAGTTGATAAACACTTGCTGAGGGGATTAGTTTTCCTCTTTATTTTTCAGGTAAACATCTTCCCATTGGATTGCTAGCTTGTACTGGCAAAAGATATATGCACATGTACCTCTGAGAATACTTTTGAATAACCTCTTAGAATACAGGTTTCTCTAAGTATCTTCACTGAACAGATGGGTTAATCCTGAGATGGTTAGAAAAACCAGTTAAATAGGAATTCTGCTAACTAAAAGCCAAAATTTTGTAATCAAGCCAATTAACTGGGTCATTATCAAATCTCTTTCTTCCTAGGCTGTGACCTCATAGAAGGCAGAAACTTCTTCTAGCTAAATATATAATGCATTTGTCAAAATGTTTACTTAGAAAATAATTGTATTTGGCTCATGGTGAGTTGAGAGGGAAAATGGGATGAGAACACAAGAATAAATAGATTCATGTTTCTGACACCAAATATCTATTTCCTGCTTTGACATCTAGCATATACAACTAAGTCAAACAATCCTAAAATTAATATGAAACCAAAAAAGACCCCACATAGCCAAAGCAAGACTAAGCAAAAAGAACAAATATGGAAGCATCACATTACCCAACTTCAAACTATACTACAAGGCTATAGTTACCAAAACAGCAAGGTACTGGTATAAAAACAAGGATGTACACCAATGGAACAGAATAGAGAACCCAGAAAAAAAGCCAAATATTTACAGCCAACTGATCTTTGACCAAGCTGACAAAAACATAAAGTGGGGAGAGGATACCTTATTAAACAAATGGTGCTGGAAAAATTGGTAAGCCATATATAGAAAAATGAAACTGGATCCTCATCTCTCACTTTATACAAAAATCAACTCAAGATGGATCAAAGACTTTAAGATGTGAAACGATAAAAATTCTAGAAGATAACATCAGAAAAAACTCTTCTAGACATAGCTTAGGCAAAAAGATCATGACCAAGAACCAAAAGCAAATGCAACAAAAACAAAGATAAACAAATGGGATCTAATTAAACTAAAAAGCTTTTGCACAGCAAAAGAAATTATCAGCAGAGTAAATAGACAACCCACAGAGTGGGAGAAAAGCTTCACAAACAATGCATCTGACAGAACCTACAAGGAACTCAAATCAACAAGAAAAAAACAAATAATCTCATCAAAAAGTGGACTAAGGACATGAATACACAATTCTCAAAAGAAGATATACAAATGGCCAACAAATATATGAAAACTTGCTCAATATCACTAATTATCAGGGAAATGCATACCAAAACCACAATAATATACCACCTTACTCCTGCAAGAATGGCCATAATTTAAAAAAATCAAAAAATGACAATCTGCAATTGCAAAAATAAGGAAGACTAAATATCCATTGACCAACAAGTGGATAAACAAAATGTGGTGTATATATATATATATATATACACAAACACACACCATGGAATACTACTCAGACATACAAATGAATGAAATAATGGCATTCACAGAAATCTGGATGGAGATGGAGGCCAACATTCTAAGTAAAGTAATTCTGGAATAGAAAAATCAAACATTGTATATTCTCACTTATAAACAGGAGCTAAGCTATGAGGATGCAAAGACTTAAGAATATTATAATGGGCTTTGGAGAATCGGGAAAGAGTGGGAGGGGGATGAGAGAGAAAAAACTACACACTGGGTGTACTGTACTCTGCTCAGGTGATAGGTGCACATAAATGTCAGAAATTACCCCTAAATATCTTTTCCATGTAACCAAACACCACCTGTTCCCAAAAAACTACTGAAATAAAACAACAGCAACAAAATCACAACCTTAGAAGAGCAGGTATTACAAAAGTAGGACATAAAACACAGGGGGATTCTTCCTCTTGTCTCCTTATCTTTCTAAAGCATGAATCTGTTTTAAGTGAATAATGGAAGTTCCAAAAGCAGAGAATCCAACTTATAAATACACTCTAAATCCTATGTAAAAGAAAGTGGTAACTTCCGTAGAACAAACTGAATAATAAACAACAATTAAGCTTCAGAAGAAAGGTCAACTATAAATTGAATCCTCCATTCTAGGGTAGAAGACAGTAGCAATCTAATTCAATGCAATTTATGTAACGCTAATTGTATTGCCAATTTTAATCATTAAATGAGAAGTATGAGATGAAAGAAAAGTGTGAGAGAGGGCCTTCATCTTACACTGTCTAGATGAAAAATGAAGATATCAAATAACAATACAAAGTAGTTTTATTACTAACTGAAAAAAAAGGCTGCAAAGTTAGTAAGGGCAAAGTCATTTAGCAAATATTTATTGAGTAGGTTATAAGGCTCAAGCCTTAGGCAAAGTGCTGAGGATTCATTGTAGGTTTGAGTATTCTGAGAAGTCTTCATGAGGAGGTAAACTGAAGCTAGACTATTTGTGATTGCCTCAATTTCCCCAGTTCATCATTCATCCAATGACAAATCAAGCTGTACTGTTACTGATTAGTATTTCTTTTAATATGAGCCAACTAAATCTACATTTACTTTGATTTATTTGTACTATTCTTTGCAACTGAAATTTTCACGTTTGAAAGATAATGTTACTATTTTTTTAATTTAACTGAAACCTAAAATTTAAAAATTTGCCAGATTTTCCTTGCCTTATACCCTTTCTTTTAGCATTCTTTTCTAAGATTTACATATTTAGGTTTGCATATAAACAGTAAAAGCCATCATAAACAAACAGTTGGGGTATGTCTAATGCAGCTTTAACATTGTCCTCTTTTGAAGTCCCAAAAAAGATAAAGGTTGATTGCCTGGAGCCCTCTTGGAAAATGAATAACAGGCAGAGAGTGCATGTACCTGCATTTGTAAATGGTAAAAGCATCTCTGAAAAATATCTATTTTTAGTTAGTACTTCTCTTCATGTACTTCATTGTGGCTGCCGTTCAATTCTCTCAGTTTTCAATGTGAATATGATGTAGTTTATGTACTCCTTGTTGTGTTCCCTATTGGTTATCTACCCACTAAAACACCCAATCTCTGACTTAACATTCAAAAACTCTCCATGACGGGGGCCTCCTGGTTTTATTTCTACATTTTATCCAAACTATTGTTAAACTTTCTCACATATCTCCATGCTCAGTCACCGTTGCCTCTGTTTGCTCTGATAAGAATCATATTGTTCAATGACCTTATCTTATCTCTATCTGTTGAAAGAACCCATATTCAATAAAGCCATTCCACATACTTCCAGGTAAGACTGATTTCTGTTTTGCAGTGGTTTGAATGATGGTGGCTTCTCCAAAATTCATGTTGAAACTTAATCCCCAATGCAACTGTATTAAGAAGTGTGACTTTTGGGAAGTGATTACAGCATGAGGGCCCTGAATGGGACTAACATCCTTATAAAAGGGTTCAAGAATACATGGAACACTCTCTTTCTCCAGGCCATCCTTTTCACCATGTGAGGAGACTGCATTCTTCTCCTCTGAAGGATGTAGCAATGAGGCACCATCTTGGAAGAAGAGCAATCCCCATCAGACACCAATCCTGCTGGTGCCTCGATTTTGGACTTCCCATCCTCCAGAACCATGATAAATATATTTCTATTGTTTATAAATTACCTAGTCTGTGGTATTTTGTTATAACAACACAAATGGACTGAGACAGTTGATTATCAAAAACCACCTGGCAATACATCTATTTGTGATGATTTTTATGTCACTTATATTTACAGGATGAGTATAAGAGTATTCATCCATCCATCCATCCATCCATCCAACAAAAACTAATTTATTCCCTAAAAATCTATCACAAACTTTTCCCCAGGTGAGACACTGAAGACATAGTGGTAAACAAAGCAGATTCATTCCCAGATCTTTTAAAACCTGACAGATTAATGAGGGAGGCAGACATTCTGTGAACAAGAAAAATCACAGATGTTTTAGATTAAAATGCTATGCCTTTGGAGCCATCACTTTTTAACATATTTTCTGTTCTATTCATGACATTAAGCACAGAAATTTATCTTGATGGACCTAGTTGTGCAGGATACATTAGAAAAAGTACAAACTCCTAGAATAGAAATTGAAAGAAATCTTTGCTCGGTGGAAAGGAATTATTAAACATTTTGACTGCCAGCTGATTTGAAACTTCAAGTACAGCTCCTGAGATCCACGGTCAGAGAAGTCATGTTCAAGAGTTTTATAATGATCATATCCAATGACAAATGTTCTGGATATCCATGATACAAACAAACACACACACCAAAGAAGCACTTAGTTGGTCTGTGACTTGAAGTTTTAATAATGAAATCACAACTGAGTAAGGTAAAAGCAACTCTATAAAAGATAATTAGGACCAATGAATATTTACAGATAAGATTTCTATTTAGGCTCTTTTTTATTTAAAAAAATAAAAAAGCACATTTGGCCAGCTTAAAGGTAAAGTACACCCTCCCTGTGTACACATCGTCACATATTCAGCCCTATTACTGACTGATACAGAATCTTGGTTTACAGGCATAGAATTCTGCTCAAGATAAAATTACCATTTACAAATTACTGATTTTTTAATCTCTAAATCTTAAATTCATGGGAAATGACATAGAACTATACAACATATCCTTATAAGATTTCTACAATAAAATGAATTTATAGATTAGCATTTTCAGTCAATTAACATTGAAGTTTTTGAGCTTTAAAATTCTGTTTAACGTTAGAATAAATGAAGTATGCATCAGAAGCTTCAGATGGAAATACCGTGTTAAACTGAGAATCAGAACAAAATCAAGTAACACATGATCAAATCAATAGGAAAATACATCTTCAATTAACAATGCTGACAAGAAGTTCAAAAAAATTCATCTCTTCGATATTTTCCATTTACCCTTCCTTGGGTATATGGACGAAGGATTCAGTAGAAGCATTCTTTATCAACAGATACAAAAATGAGAATTGTTATCAGAGAAAGATCCAGAAGTTAGGTAGCCATATTAAATTCCACATGGCTTGGTTTGACAATGGGGTGGAGAGCAAATAGATGATTGTGAGGTTGGGCTGGATGCTAGATCAGGGAGTTTCTAAAGATATTTATGGAATATTTTGTCTCTGCACTTTGGGGTTTTTCAGGAGAGTTGAGTGAGTTTTCTTACAGGATTTAAAAAAAATAATTACATATAAACCAGCTGTAACATGAAGGAGCAGTCTTTCTTTACCACAATGAGAGAGGCTGTAAGTAAAGCACCATGGTAATATTGCAAATACAACTTAAATCCTCTCTATTTTTCATACCTACCTAGCTAATTCCAATCCTGAACAGTGATTTTTTTTTTTTTAAAGGCAATGGTCATTGTGTGGAACAAGAAGGAGAATAACAATTTTTTTTTTTTGTCGTTTAGAAACACTTCTATTGAACATGCATTATTCTCATCATCTGAAAACGAAAACAATTTCTAAAAAAAAAAAAAATTCCACTTGCAAAACCTTTGGCTTTTACATTGAATGGGATGGGGATGAAAACATCTCATTGAAATGTATCACTCTGGCTGCTGTGCTAAAATTAGACCATGGGGACAGGGCATGGGTGAAAGCAGGAAGATCAACTGGAAGGTTATTGCAGCAGTCCATCCAACAGGTGGCCTAGAAGTGGATACAATGGAGATGAAGATAAATGACTGGATTCTGGGTATAAATTGAGGGTAGAGCCATTCCTGATAGGTTGGACTGGATGTGAAGGTCAAAAGGAAGAGTGAAAGATGAAGCTAAGGTTTTTGGTTTGAGTGAATAGATGAATGGAGTTGACATTTACTTGCATGGAGAAAACTGAGAGAGAAACATTTATTTTTAATGGTAGTTTGGTATTAGAAACAAAGAGTTTGAGATGTTTGTTAGACTGTGCTGACTGGGAGCAGGCAGTTGTGTGTAAGGTCTAAAACTCAATAGAGGATATAGCTAGAGAGATAAGTCAACATACAGATGGAATATGGAACTTGAATGAGATCTCCTAGGGAGTAGGTGTAGACAGGAAGCAGTATAAGTCCAAGGACTGAAACCTGGGGCTCTCCACTGTTTGGAAATGAGAAAATCGAGGAGACATCTAAATGAGAAGGAACAGTAGGTTTAGTAGGAGGAGAAGCAAGAGAGAGAGAGAAATACTAAGAAAACTACAAGAAAATGTTTCAAGAAAGACGGAATGATTTGTATCAAATGCTGCTGAAGGTAAGGATTGGGAATTTTCCACTAGATTTAGCAGCATGCAGATTGCTGATGACTTGACAGGGACTGATATGGTGGGGATGAAAGTCTTTTTGAAATAGGTTCAAAAAGAATGAGGCAAAAGAAAGTGAAAGCAATGATGATTGTTACTTTAAAAGAGAACAAGAAAATAAGTAGGTATTTTAAACAACTAGGAAATGTAATTGGCTGAAGAAGAAATGGGTAGATTGAAGGTATTGGGGGAGAGGAGGAAATGGAGCAGCGGAATGAAGTAGGATTGCAACACCAGGGTCCCACTGAAGGTTAGGAGCTATGAATTTAAAGTGAGACCAATCAGCATAGGTGTGTGGTTTTCCCCAGCCACATTCTTCCATTCTTCCCCCCAGGGAGATGCTGAAGCACAAGTTTCACTTAATCAGCATTGCTGTTTTTCTGAGCAAGTGTTAGGAAAGAGAGAGGAGCAAAGAAATCAAAGGTGATTGCAAGGGAGTCATAATGATAGAATGTGGGACTAAAGCTAAGTGGAAGGGAAGTGAGCACATGAGTGAACAAGACATAGATGTAACTTTTGTTAACAGTGAATTTAGAGAGCTGCAGGAAATGAGAAGCACAATTATGGAGTAGTTGTAGTTAATGATTATGTTGAGTTCCAGGAGATGATCTTGGAACTGAGTGATTAAGACATGCTGGAGGATGGTATCAATGGAGGAGGGCCAATATTTCAGAGATAGGTTCATTGAAAGAATGGTCTACATGGATATTGAAAACTCCAAAGAATACTACAAGAGGGTTATTGGATCATGGAGCAGTGAACCAGGCATTAAAATCTGCAAGGATGAGGAGGTGATGGGCCAAGGGTCTATACATTTCCATAGAGAGGAGGTTTAGTGAATTGTTTATTCCTTGAAGATACACACAGTGGACAAATGGTTTTGGAACCACTTCAAAAATGTAAGTAGTGTGTACTCTATAATTATGAAGATTATTCAAGGTCTGTTCATCATATTAAGCATTTTAATCAGGTTTTTCTTTGGGCATATAAATTACTGCATGGCCGATTCCATGATCCTTGAAACAAACATCAGCTAGCTAACCTAACTTAATTAAGAGACACCTATAAATTAAATTCTATGACTTTCATAACAACTACAGGTATTTCACAAGAACCTAATTTAGGGAATTAGGGAAAGAACTTTAAGGGTGGACAGAATGTGCCTTTTATTTTTCATCATGTGTCTTGCAATTAAAAGAAGTCCTTATATCTCCACCTGTTGTATAGGACACTTAGAGCCTGGTGGTGGTCGGCCTGCAAAGTCTTAGCAACTGCTATTCAGTTCCAGCATCTGTTCACACTTCTTGACTGGTCAGAAAAGTAGCTCGATCATTCATTATCTACAATTGATTTCTTACAAAGAAGTTAAAATTTTGTTGTTGTTTTTTTCTTTTGCCAACTTGTATGCAGTAAAGTTATATATAAAAAATTATCATTAGATATTTGCAATTGGAAAATTTGGCTCCAAAGCAATAATAACAAAGTATTTTGTGAGCTTAAAAATATGTTCAAGTATTTAAAGGGTTTTGAAAAACTACATTTACTACAAATATAATGCCACAGGAGGTAACTCTGATATGTTTACCACATCCATTTCAGTGAACTTAAAATTGATCCTCGATGTAAAGAAGGTATCCATACTAAAGTACGATTAAGTTTAGTTAATTATCTGTGACTATTTTCTGCTTAGATGGTATCAGTATTAATGATCCTCCTGAACTATCCCTTCAGTGTGTAAAAGAACTTAATTGAAGACATTGCATCTGTCAGGATCTAAACAGGGTCTAAACACCCCAGGAATGAGGCATAGGCTTATTTGCTTCATTATGGAATGATTATAAATTTAGGATAATAGCAGAGTAAAAAATTGCATAAGGGAATTTAAATATTATGAATTATATAATCAGTAGTTACACATATATCAGATTACATATATAGTATGTATATATACATACACAATGTATATACCGTATATATACACATACATAGTGTATAAATTCAGGGTAGAGCCATGGCTGAGAGGACTGGATGTGTGGATGAATATATGCTCAGTGTGTGTGTATATATACAGTATATATTGTGTGTATGAGTATACTATATACACACTATATATACAGTATATATATTGTGTATATATACATACTATATAGTGTATATATACATACTATATATATACTGTATATATACATACTATATATATATACTGTATATATACATACTATATATATATATACTGTATATATACTGTAGTTACACACACACACACTATTAGGCCATTCTCGAATTGCTATAAAGAAATGCCTAAGACTTGGTAATTTATTCAGAAAAGAGATTTAATTGGCTCACGGTCTATAGGCTGTACAAGAAACATGTTGACGGCATCTGCTCAACTTCTGGGGAGGTTTCAAGGAGCTTTACTTATGGAAAAAGGCCAAGAGGGAGCAAGCATCTCACAGGGCAAGAATGGGAGCAGGAGAGAGAGTTGAGGGGGCAGTGCCACACACCTCTAAATGACCAGGTCTCAAGTGAACACAGAGTGAGAGCTCATTCATTACCAAGGGAATGGCCCTAGCCATTGACAAGGGATCCACCCCCGTGACCCAAACACCTCCTACCAGGCCCCATTGATAACATTTTAACATGAGATTTGGGTGGGGAAAAATATCCAAACTATATCAATATCTATAGATGTATATATCTTTATGTATATATATCTCAGCATACACACACACACACACACACACACACACAGATTAGATAGACATACCAGGACATATCAGATCCCTAGATATTTTAATAATATTAAATATATATTTTATTTGTGTAATTTAGATAATGTGGATAAATACATTAGTTAATTGTATTTGTATTTTAACATTTTAAAATAGAATGGATGCTGTGACTATTTTGAATGAATAAAAGTGCTGTTAATCCTCCAATGTAACATTTCTACATGGAAAGAAACTCTACAATGTCTACCATCTATTAATATTTTTCTATCAAATTATATCACAGCAGTAGTTTCTATTTCTCTAATTTCAATATTTTTATATATATATGGCTGAGTTACTAGCAGAAACGTGGTTATTAGAAAATCCTCTCAGTGGAAATGAACTTTTAAAATAACATTTTACATGATGCTAAACACTGCTTTTCAGAACACCTACTCATTTGTTAGCTGCTAAAATAACAATGAGACAGTAATAGCTTAATTCAAAACAGTGATAATATGTAATGCATAAAGGTCAAACCCAAACTCTTTGAATAGAGATTTCATCTATGTTCCTTTTAAGTGTGTTTCTGTACTTCAGGGATAAGCTTTTTTTGTGAAGACTGCATTGCAATACTTTTCAAGAATTACTTCTTTATGATCCTCCTTTGGAGGTGAACATCAAAAAGAAAACACTCCTTAACCTCCTTCTTTGTCAAAAATTTTGTATTCTCCGAGGACTAGATTACAAACATTGACACAATTTCAGAGTCCTCCCCTAGAAACTCATGTCCACAGCTGGGTTCTGCAGTTAGAATGGTTGGTTACTTTCAGAAATTATTAATATAACATTAATACAGAGTAAAATTAATGACAAGTATTTTTTAATGTCAATCCTACACCATATAAAATCACTAACTGAATGCAACGTTAGTATTTCATAATTTCTTTAAAAAAATCTATTTATTTAAATGAATTTTTTGAGGGAGTAACTTTCAAATATGCAACCCTGCCTTGGTGCTGGCAAGGGGATGCTACCTGTTGCAGAAAGTGACAGAATGAAATCATAAATGTGATCTTTTGCTGTATCAAATACCATGGCACTTTTTCTGACCCTCAATAAATATCATTCAATGAATACATTAATTATTTGGAAATACTTGGGGAGCAATGTTGAACACATCCCATCTCTAACCTCATTTTGCTCTTCTGTTTCATTCCTCATGACAGCACTGCAATATTTAATGAAAATAATTAACTTTAATGTCACCAATTGTGGTACTCAAGATGTACTTTTTTGGTATTCAGAACACCAAATAATACTTTAAAAATTATACCTAATACCTTAGAATGACTGGGTGCTGCTGGAGGAAATATTTTTTATGACACCTCAATAGAGATGGCATTTCAACATATGACCCTCTCCGTATGCTGGACTTACAGTAAGTGCAAATTATTGCTCTCATTTCTAACAGTATACATTTGGCAAATGGTGCAATTTATAATCTTAGAAAGTGTATTCCATTAGCAAGTTTCTGTTTTTGTTTTTTGTACCTTGTCCCAATAGTTAACAATGAAATTATTCACAAAGATTAACTCGTGGCCCTGTGTGTCTAGTGGAATCTCTGCCTCTAAGCTTTATTTGATAAGATGTCTGGGTCGGGAAGGAAATTTGACTGCTGCTAGTGATCCACCCAGCACAGCAAGTGGCATAGCAAAGACTCAAGAAATACCTAATGACACCCAGATTAGAGAGTTTTGGAGAGATCACAATCTATAACTATTCTAGAACTTTGAGTCTGAATACATCCTGCAGACTCATGTGCTTCTTGGATCAAATCTGGGACCAGATCAAGAAGAATTATTTTCAAATTTGATGCAGTAATGTTGGTAATATACTAAGCCAACACCTACAAAAACACTGGTAGATAATCTAAATGGGAAACTCCAGCTGAGATGTATGCTAACCCTGTAAGAAAGCTTCCAAGAAACTGGAAGCCAAAATTTAAGCTCAGGCACAGGAAATATTGTAACTTCTGCCTTCTTTTTCCCTTGGTCTCAGTCTTCAATCATAATTGTAAAGAGGCAATTTATAAATGAAATTATTAAATAAAAATAAGGCATCTTGCTAGACAGTATGATGTGATGTAGAACATAGAGCTCATTTTTTTGTTCTTTTTAATATTCCAAATAAATATCAAGAACATAATTTCTCCTATACTCCTAGCCATATATCTTCATCTTTGTTGTTGAATATAAGGCCCACACAGCTAAAAATGCTGCCAGGAGGCTTTGGTGGTGGGAATGAGAGGGCAAGCAGGGACTCCTGTGGTGCCAAGCTCCAGCTTGAAAGCAACAGGGAACTTGCCTGCAGGCTGGAAGACAGCAGGGCAGGCAGGGCATAGAGAGAAGAGAGGAAGGCCTGGATTCTCCTCCCTGGGAAACAAACATTCACTCTGAAACCGTACACTTCAGTGGCTCTTACTGACTTGCTTATATCATATTTCATGTGGTGGCTATGGATTCAACCTTTGAATGCTCATTGAAATTTTTTTGGCATTGGAAATCTTTCTTCATAGATTATATTGGTTTTATTTTTAGGAAGCATGCTTTGAACCACAGTATTTCTGAGTCCGTTTAATAATGAGTACGTTCACCACTGAGTTCAGCAGAATTTTCATTCTTTATCAGACACAGTGGTCATGAAAGTTTCTTTAGACTTTGTTCCCCGGTGAGAATAAAGCTGGTGCTTCGAGGCTTGAAGACATTACCTAAAGCTTTTTACTTACCTCTAGATTCTATCCTAACTTGCAGTAAAGTAGACCGTTGTTAAATTTGTCCCACTTTCTTTTATAGAGAAAGTGACTTTTGTCCTTTGAATAAGCTGTATTGATTATTAATAGATGGCATGGGATAAGCCCATTTGCCAGTCAATTGTTTGAAAATCAGACCATATTTTTCCTTTTGCCATAGCAACATGCTATAATATAAGTGAACTTGTTTCCCAAGCCTAATCCTAATTACGACTCACTGTCCCTCATTTTTAGACTATCATTACTCTGGGGAAACACATTTGCAATTTTACATTAGGGTGCAGGAAAATTTTTCCCCACTAAGTGATAGCCTCAAAAATAATAAATTGTGTAAGATGAACAAGCCCAGACATTCTTGGTGTGACTTTATTTGTTCTCTTCATATCGATGTCTATATAATAAAAGGGATACCGTGGCTTATGTGTTCTGAAATGGAGAATAAAGGTCAATTTCAGAAGTCAGAATCAGAACTTTCCCAGTCCTGTTGACACAGATCATTCTTCCATTAAGGGCTCACACACCAGGAACCACCTGCTCAGTAAAAGCTGTGCTTTCATTTCCTTTATGAACAACAAAAACCACCAGAAATCAAACTTTTTGACTTTCCATCAATGAATCTTTTATTGTAGAAATTTTCAGGATGGGTTTAAGAAGAATATTATTCACTTAGAAAATAAGTAAGTACCATAGAACTATGCTTTCCATCGCTTTGTAAAACAGTGGGTATTGGCATATAATTGTTATTGTATGATTGTACTATTATGTAGTTATAAATGACTTTTACAGAACAAAGGAAAGAAATTACCTAGAGAAACATGAATTAACTCTTATTTCACTATGTTACTAATTGACTTCCCTTATTCATCAAACCAGTTTGATAGCAAATGTTTTATAATAATTGCGTGAACTTTTATGCAAACTTTAAATGGAACTCTTAAAAAACTTTCTCTAGATTTTAATTAATCTCAAATATTTAATACACTTTTGCATAACTTAAGCAATGGCTTATCTTTCTTTCTTGCCTGGGGCTCCTTGAGCTTTAATTAGTATGCAGCATATCTTATAAAATTTTGGTGTTGCTTTTAAGGAACAATAATTTTGATCCATTTAAACTCACCATCATCAGATACGGGTTCCATACAATAATAATTACATTGCTAAAGGAAAGAATAAAAATGAGAAAAGGAAAGGAAGTTTTCCAAAACTAAAATTTAACGTTTTCTTTGTAGACGTTCTCTAATGTGCAAAAGGTGAATGTTAGAGACTGAATGTTTATGTCCCCGCCAAAATTCATATATTGAAACCCAATCCCCAGTGTGATGGTATTAGGAGATGGGGCTTTTAGGAGGGCCCCACTTTCACGAATAGGATTAATGCTGTTATTTAAAAAAAGAAATTCCAGAGAGCTCCTTTGCCTGCCTAGCATGTGAGAACACTGCAAGAAGATGGCCATCCATGACCTGGGAAGCAAGCCTTCACCAGATGCCAGATCTGCCAGCGCTTTCAACTCAGGCTTCCCAGCCTCCACAACTGCGAGAAATAAATTTCTATCGTTTATGAGCTAGTCTATGGTATTCTGTTATAGCAGCCTGGATAAACTAAAACAATGAGTTATAATATTCTAAGCCTCTGTGATACATAACCGTGGTTGAGATGATACAGTCAAAAGGCAAAGATGATAATGAATATGCAGCATAAAATTGAATCTTTTTTTTTTTTTTTTTGAGACCAGAGTCTTGCTCTGTCGCTTAGGCTGGAGTGCAGTGGCGCAATCTCGGCTCACTGCAACCTCTGCCTCTTGGGTTCAAGCAATTCTGCTGCCTCAGCCTCCTGAGTAGCTGGGATTATAGGTGCACACCACTATGCCAGGCTAATTTTTGTATTTTTAGTAGAGATGGGGTTTCACCATGTTGGCCAGTCTGGTCTCAAACTCCTGAACTCAGGTGATCTGCCTGCCTTGGCCTCCCAAAGTGCTAGGATTACTGAGCCACTGCACACGGCCTCTAAAATTAAATCTTATGCAGATGTCCTAATACTGGTCCTACTGGTATCTGCAAGGCAGGAAAATGGATACAGGTCTTCAGAGAAGAACAGCAGCCCTCCCATCCAGCCCCAGAGGCTGGTTTATGGCTGGGCACTTGACCTAGCAGCCGAACCATATGTTGATGAGCAACATATTACTAGATTCTGGAGATAAAAGATAAATCGAGCCAACGAATTTCCTTTCTTAAATTTGAAATAAGATATGAAAACAGTTGGCCATTCTGAAACAAAGGGGACTGTGGAGGGATCTCAGGACAAAATATGGGGCACTGTGAACACTGGAGTTGTATTGGTTCTGATGGTTTCGGCTGTAAACCAAAAACCCAACTAAGTCTGCACTCACAAAAAAAGGAACTTTATTGGCTCAATGTGGAGTTGGGTGTAGACTTGATCCAGTGGCTTGACAGCCACCAAGATTGTGGTTTATTTCTCTTTCTGATTGTGTTCTCCACTTTGTCTTCAGTCCAAGGCCAAGCTGCTCATGATCACGCATGAGTTTCAGGCTGTGTGGCCTTAATCATGGGAATGTTCTTGAAATAGTCCCTGTGGCCACAGGTTGAGAAACTGATTGTAATTGAAGACAAATCAACTTCTCTGAACCCAAACAGAAAACAGAGGCTGATGGAAAGAAATAGGGTGTGAATCACCCACAGGAAGTCATTGCTGAGAAAGTAAGCAACATATGCCCATCACAGAATTTATAAGACTGCAAAAACTATAAGCAGAGAAATTCAGTTGGTTTGGGATTAAAGGAAACAGATAAGTGCAATACAGCTCAGATATTTTAATGCAGGGCGTTTGGGTGGAGATCCATGAATGCATACCTTTAAAGCTCTATTGAATCAAGAAGTTTCTCTAGTATAAGCCACAGGAGGGCTCACACTTATTAGGTAAGGTGACCATGCACCTTGGCCTGTCCGGTGTAGAATCAGTTCACACTTGTTACACTCCTTCCATGATTAAAAAAGGCCCGGTTTAACGGCAAATGATATGGTCATTCAATGGTTATGCTCCCTTGTTATGAATTTTCACATTTTTTTTCCTAATCATTCCATGTGTAGCTTTACAAGTTGTTCTTACTTGGTGTATTGGTCCATTTTTTTACTGCTATAAAAAACTACCTGAGACTGGGTAATTTATAAAGGAAAGAGGTGTAATTGACTCACAGTTCAGCATGGCTAGGGAGACCTCAGGAAACACAATCATGGCCGAAGGTGAAGGGGAAGCAAGGCACTTTCTTCAGAAGGCGGCAGGAAGGAGAAGTGATGAGTGAAAGAAGAAGAGCCGCTTAAAAAGTCATCAGATCTCGTGAGAGCTCACTATCAAGAACAGCATGGGGGAAACCATGCCCATGATTCAATTACCTCCACCTGGTCTCTCCCTTGACACGTGGGGATTATGGGGATGACAATTCAAGATGAGATTTGGGTAGGGACACAAAGCCTAACCTTATCAATTGGACTAGCTTGAACTGATCTCTGTAGAAGACATGTCTATTAGAAAGAAATTTCAAATTAAGTGGAAGGCAGGGCAGCACCCTTTAATAAGACAGACCAAGGTGGGAGAATAAGGGTGAGAGCTCTGAAAGAGGTGTCAGCATAAGCAATTGTATGCTCCCACCTGAAACCACATTTTGAGGGAGGTATACAAAGGTGTAGGGCTTTAGGGATTATTCTGTATGGCTGAGGGGAGTCTAGAACATTGTGTTCTGGTGACAGGTGATAGAGCCTTGACTTTGTCTTGCCCTCTTTGGGTTCTGTTTTCTATCAGTTCTCAGATAGAGAATCCATTTCTTTTTTTTCTTTTCTTTTTTTTTTTTTTTTTTTTTTGAGAAGGAGTCTCTCTCTTTCACCCAGGCTGGAGTGCAGTGGCGCGATCTCGGCTCACTGCAGGCTCCACCCCCCAAGGTTCACGCCATTCTCCTGCCTCAGCCTCCCGCGTAGCTGGGACTACAGGCGCCCACCACCTCGCCCAGCTAATTTTTTGTATTTTTAGTAGAGACGGGGTTTCACCTTGTTAGCCAGGATAGTCTCGATCTCCTGACCTCGTGATCCGCCCACCTTGGCCTCCCAAAGTGCTGGGATTACAGGCGTGAGCCACCGCACCTGGGAGAATCCATTTCTTAAATTCATTTGAATTTTATTGCATCTGTCTTTTTAGTTTGTTTATTCATAACTAAGAACTCTGACTTACAGTTCCTTGCAATGAAAGAGCCAAATTAAGAAAAAGCTGCTGATAGTGAATCAAAAAATAAGTCAGTCAATAAGTATCAAACAACTACACATTTAGATATTTTGTTATATTATATTGTTGGCATCCTTTTTTTTTTTTTTTTTTTAATGTTTTTGAGACAGACTCTTGCTCTGTTGCCCAGACTGGAGTGCAATACCACAGTCTCAGCTCATTGCAGCCCCTGCCTCCCAGGTACAAGCAATTCTCCTGCCTCAGCCTCCTGAGTAGCTGGGATCACAGTCACCTGCCACAGAGCCCAGCTAATCTTTATATTTTTAGCAGACACGGGTTTCAGCATGTTGGCCAAGCTGGTCTCGAACTCCTGATCGCAAGCGATCGGCCTGCCTTGGCCTCCCAAAGTGCTGGGATTACAGGTGTGAGCCACTGCGCCCAGCCTTTCTATGCATAGACACAGTGAGTGATTGAAAAACCATTTTCTGTTTCCATTGCTAATATGTAACGTAAAACATGACACTCCAAAGATAACAGGTGATACAAGTGAGAAACAGAAGTACATAAAGCTTTGAGCAAACTTCAGTTGGTTCCTACAGCCTTGCAAGCACTGTGCCAGACTATTTCAGGTGATTTCTACATCATCCCCATTACTTTATTTTCCCTGGAAATGGTAAGGGAAAAGAAAATAGGCTTTTCTGTTTTATAAACCATAACACACCAAAGGCCCACATCACTGATCTTTTTTGTCACTACCTGAGCTGCATTTTTCATGTATCTGGGGGCCCAGATGCAGAGGCTGGAGCTCTGCTGTGTTCAAGATGTGGCCCACAAGCAGCTGCAGCAACAGCATTTTGAAGCTTGTTAGAAAAGCAGAATCCCAGTGTTCTCTTCAATCACACTGAGCCAAACCTGTTTTGACAAGATCCCAGATGATCTGTATGCACCTAAAATATTGAGAAGTACTGAACTAAAATACTCATTCTCAAAAAAATATTGATTTATTCTTCATACATTTTTTTTTCTCTGCACCCCACGCTCACCTGCCTGAGCTTCCATCTCCAGCCAACTGCTCTCTCACTAATCCCTGTTATTGAGAGTACTCCTCTTGGCACAGATGTTTACCATGTAAATAACTTTTGGACTTTCATTTCCTTACTGATCTGTATCAACCGCCCTACCACATTCTCATTTTCCTTTCCAGGACTTCTTTAGAGAGTGTTGTCTTAGGGGAAAGCCTGTTGTGTTGGAACAAGCTACTGTTTTACCTTGAATACTTTTCTCCAACGCTTCCATTCCCTCGTGACATCCAAAATCTAGTTTCTCCATGAAGAAAACACTCTACAGTAAATTTTTCGATAGAAACCAGCTGTTTTCTTACTCAATTCACTGGCAAAGTAGAAGGGTGTAGAGCATTCCTTGACTCTAAGCCATTATTTTAAAACTATTTCCAGTAAACTCTTTTCCGATGTATGCACTTCTAGAATTTTCTGACCATTGACTCGAAGAGGATAGGTGGGAAGACACTGGTAGGAGAGTTTTAAGAATGAATGAGTTGACACGAGTTTCCATTCTAACAGGCAAAATGTGATGACAGTGTCTCTGGAATGTGTACACTTAACCACAAACATGTATGCACATTCCAAAAGTTTATGAATTCCTTGGACTACAGACTAAAGCATAAATTCTTAGAATGTTTTCTCAGGCATTCTGAGAATTTTGGGCAACTTCTTATTTCAGCTGTGTCACATGCCTTAGTTTATATAGTCCATTTTTCCAAGACAGCCTTGCCCTATATTATCTGATATGAGCCTTTCTGTCCTGGAAGGACCAGTTTTAATTCTATTTCACTCATAAAGCATTGCTAAATCCCTCCATTTAGAATTGTTCTTTTCCTTCTTTATAATTTCATAGTCCTTTTTTATGCTACTATTATATTTTTCCATTCATTCTATAAAAAATGTATTTAGAACATATTGCGTATCAAGCACTGTGTTAGGCACAGAGACACAGTGGGGCATGAGCTCAGGCCTGTTTCCCATTCTTGGGAAGCTCAAAGTCTAGAAGAAGAAAAGATGTAATTACAGTCTTGAATGTGTGATTATAAACAGGTTAAAAAGTGCCTAACCCAGTCTTACAGATCCTGAGATGGCTCCCCTAATGGAGTTTATCTATGAATTGAGATATGAAGGATAAGAAAGCAAGAGACAGAGACAGAGATGGGTGGTGGGGTGAAGCAATTCTAGACCCAGAGATCAGTACAGGCAGGGGCCCCACTGAAAGAACATCTGAGGCACTGAGCACAGGCCAGCGTGGCTAGAGGGGATGGAGGAGAGTGATGTGAGATGAAGCTGCAAAGGAAGACAAAGGCCAGACCACAAGAGGCTAATACACTGCTTTTAAGGATCTGGGTCTTTTTCTTAAGGGCAATAAGAAGTTACTGATGAATTTCGAGTAGGAGGTCAGAATAAGAACTAGATACCTCTGCCACTCTCTTATGAAATCCTTGAAGGGAGGCTGGATCATCTTCACTCTTGAATACCCTAAAATGTCGATTGTCTAAGCCTGAAGTTTGATAACTATATTTTAAATTTTTGGAGGAAAAATATAAAATATATGGTTTGAATAAGATAAATGCTGCATCAAATATTTTTTTCTGGAAGCATGCACTTTTTTACTATTTATATTTTATAATCTTTCGAAACATCAACTGGGCAGAGAGTGCTATCTATCTCATTACAGATTTTCCTCTTCCTTCCTAGTGATAATCCTCAAAGTTTTAGCAGGCATATTACCACCTAGAATGAAACTGTAATTCTCAGTCTATCTTGCAACTCTGTGGTTGTGATTAAATCTGGCTAATGAGATATGATTGAAAATGTTGCACGGAACTTCTGGAATGGCTTTTTAAAACGGAAGGTGGACCCTCCTACTTTCTTTATGAAAATCAGATGAAATTTCTGGAGTTCTAGCAGCAATCTTAATCACTGGGAAAATAGAAACCATGAGCTAAGGAAACTGGAGCAGAATGTTTGAGTCTGGGTCTCGGATCGCTTTCTAGATATATTATACAAAGCCTGAATTGTCTATTTCAGACATCTTACATGTGCAGAAATAAACTTCAGATTTGCCTGGAAAACTGATTGGGTCTCTGTTCCTAACAGCTGAAAGCACTTTCTTACTGAGACCCAAACTTTCACTTCAAGGATGATGAATTATACACAGTTGTGTAACTGACAGATACTTTACTAGAAAAAATTAATCTTTGAGCCAGGAAAGTTCTAACTTGTGCTCAATTAAAATACCATCTTAATTTAGGCCACATTTTTTTTCCCATTGAATACTTCTTATTTTATTTTTAATGAACAGGGAATTAATATTCTGGGAGAAAACCAACACATCTGGCTTCTAAGTCTGTAAAGATATTCTCTGGAGATGGTATTGCAAATACACTTAGGCTTAAGAAAACTTCTAACTAATGAAAAGGGACTGTGATTTCAGAATGATGCCAGTTTCACAGACATTCTGGGGATCTGCATTGTCTCTGAGATAAAACAGTTATAAAGGACAACTTGTTGAGTCCTATCAGAAGTTGCGAGGATCTCTTTACTCATCTGTGGACAAGACCAACAAAGAAGCTAGGGCACTCATTCTTGCAATACAGCATCCAGCTGGAACTACCTAGAGAAAGATTCCAGAACAGCACTAATATTAATAACTTGTGAGCCACATGCCATATGTAGCTTAAAATCTTATGGAGGTGACAATAATATTAATATTTTATTTAACACAAAATAAAATGAATACAAAAATGATCAATGAGCTGTCTTATATTCCTGTGTGTGTATGAAGTATTCACAATCTGTTGTGCATTTTACACTAACATCACGTCTCAGTTAGAACAGCTGCTTTTTAAGTGTGAAATAGCCACATATGGCTAGTGGCTGCAGTATTAGAGAGTATAGCTCTGCACATCTTCTGCTTTCCTTTTTAATCCAGTATCTCACTACCTGCATTTCTTTGTGGTTGTTTTTGTTTTGTTTTAACTTTAAGTTCAGGTGCTCATGTGCAGGTTTGTTACACAGGTAAACTAGTGTCATGGGTGTTTGTTGTACAGATTATTTCATCACCTAGGTAATGAGCCTAGTACCCATTAGTTATTTTTCCTGATCCTCTCCCTCCTCCCATCCTTCACTCTCTGACAGGCCCCAGTGTGTGGTTTTCCCCTCTATGTGTCCATGTGTTCTCATTAGTTAGCTCCCACTTATAAGTGAGAACATGTGACATTTGGTTTTCTGTTCCTGTGTTAGTTTGCTAAGGATAATGGCCTCCAGCTCCATTCATGTTCCCACAAGAGATATAATCTTATTATTTGTTATGGCTGCATAGTATTCCATGGTGTATATGTACCACATTTTATCACTGATGGGCATTTAGGTTGATTCCATGTCTTTGCTATTGTGAATAGGGCTGCAATGAATGTCTGCATGGATTGTCTTTCTAATAGAATGATTTATATTCTTTGGTTACATACCCAGTAATGGGATGGCTGAATCAAACGGTATTTCTGTCTTTAGATCTTTGAGGAATTACCACATTGTATTCCACAATGGTTGAACTAATTTACATTTCCACCGGTAGTGTATAAGCATTCCTTTTTTTCCCAAAGCATTGCCAGTATTTGTTATTTTCTGACGTTTTAATAATAGCCATTTTGACTAGCCTGAGATGGTATCTTATTGTGGTTTTGATTTGCATTTCTCTAATGATCAGTGATGTTGAGGTTTTTTTTTTTTTCATGATGGTTCATCTCAAGTATGTCTTCTTGTGAAAAGTGTCTGTTCACGTCCTTTGCCCACTTTTTAGTGGGATTGTGTTTCTTCTTGTAAATTTGTTTCAGTTCCTATTAGATGCTGGATATTAGACTTTTGTCAGATGCATAGTTTGCAAAAATTTTCTCCCATTCTGTAGCTTGTCTGTTCACTCTGATGATAGTTTCTTTTGCTGTGCAGAGGATCCTTAGTTTAATTTCATCATGTTTGTCAAATTTTGCTTGTGTTGCAATTGCTTTTGTGTCTTCGTCATGAAACCTTTGCCCATGCCTATGTCCTGAATGGTACTGCATATGTTGTATTGCAAAGTGTTTATAGTTTTGGGTTTTACATTTAATTCTTTAATCTATCTTGAGTTAATTTTTGTATATTGTGTAAGGAAGGGGTCCAGTTTTAATTTTCTGCATATGGCTAGCCAGTTATCCCAGCACCATTTATTGAATAGGGATTCCTTTTTCCATTGCTTATATTTGTCAGCTTTGTCAAAGATCAGATCGTTCTAAGTGTACCTGCACTTCTATCTCAATTCTGCCTCTATTTTAATTTTCTCTTTTACCACTCTCTATTGCTCAATTGCTGCTACTGGTTTTCACCATCTTCCAGATCCCAGTAAAATCTTACCCTAACCGGTAGACCCACTACTAAACAAATAGTCAGTTAAGACATTGTTTGGGGAGACTAGTGAATATAACAATCTTTCATTAAAGCCTTTTCTTACTCTGAAACCAGTTTCTCTTTCTAGCCAATACCTTTTCCGGTTTCCACATCTAATGAGCCCTCTCTCCTCAGTCCAACTCCTAAATACCTTGGATATTTCCTTTTTCACCTGGTTCTACTGCAGTAATTCATTTCTCATCACCTCTGCCCAGGTAATCAGAACAAGTGTTAGTCATGCAAAACTTGATTTTCCTGAAAATCCCTCAATGGCTGCGTATTGCTCAAAGGATAAATTACAGTCTTTCTAGTAATGCAACGTCCTCTTTTTTTTATTATTATTGAGATGGAGTCTCGCTCTGTCGCCCAGGCTGGAGTGCAGTGGCACAATCTTCGCTCACTGCAAGCTCCGCCTCCCGGGTTCACACCATTCTCCTGCCTCAGCCTCCCGAGTAGCTGGGACTACAGGCGCCCGCCACCACGCCTGGCTAATTTTTTATATTTTTTAGAGACAGGGTTTCACCGTGTTAGCCAGGATGGTCTCGATCTCCTGACCTCGTGATCCGCCCGCGTCAGCCTCCCAAAGTGCCGGGATTAGAGGCGTGAGCCACCACACCCGGCCGCAAGGTCCTCTTTCATTAGGATCCCCCTAAATTCCTAGCTTCAAATCTTCCCTCACTAGTAGCTGCCAGTCTGTGAAAGAACCTACTGTAAATCCTTGAGTTTACTGCACGTACTCAAGTCATTCACACCCATGTACTTTCCAGCTCCCTGGAATGCCTATAGCATGTGCCTTGAACTGCTCCTCTGCCATCTCCATCCCAACCTAGATCCCAGGGAGAATTAGGCACAAGATCCCTTGTGCATACTTTGATTTTGGCGTTTGTGTGTTTTTTTCCAACAATTCCATGGGGTATGTGTGTGTGTGTGCTTTTTCTGATGTCTAACTCTTTCATAAATCAGTAAGAAAGTAGAATCCATAAGTTTACAAATTATTCTTCAAGGCTAAAACTGTCCTTGGACACATGGTATGCAATCAATGAAACATTGTAGAATGAATGGATAAATGAATAAATGAAAAATAGATCTTTTCAACTTTTCCATGACTCTCCTATACAAACATGTTGCTGTAGTTTAAATGATCTCTTGACTGTTTCAGAAATGGGACATGGTTATCTGTGCCTCCACACTTCTGCTCATGCCTCTGATTTTGCCTGGCATGTTCCTGCCTTTCTTTCTCATCATCCGAGGCTAATGCTCCTCTGAAGTTCAACCTACTTCTTTTATGCGGTTTTCATTAACCACGCAGCTGATAGTGGTTTTATTCCTCTTATTAATTTTCTATAGAAATCATTATCTGTAACAATTAAGAAGCAAATGCTTACATGCTTCTTAACATAGTTTTAACATTTCTTGTGAATGTTTACTGTCTCTAGGCTACATCAGTACCTGTTCTGGGAGAAGAGATCCTATCCTGTAACTTTTGGTTTTCTCATTGTGTAGTTTAGTACCAGTGGCCTTGACCTTCATAGGAGATTAACAAGTGTCCTATAATAACTATGTGAGAGAAACTTGCCTTCATGTGTATGGTATTTCTTTTTTTTTTTTTTTTTTTTTTTTTTTTTTTTTTTTTGAGAGGGAGTCTCGCTCTGTTGCCCAGGCTGGAGTGCAGTGGCATGATCTCGGCTCACTGCAACCTCCACCTCCCGGGTTCACGCCATTCTTCTGCCTCAGCCTCCCGAGTAGCTGGGACTACAGGCGCCCGCCACCACGCCCGGCTAATTTTTTGTATTTTTAGGAGAGACGGGGTTTCACCATGTTAGCCAGGATGGTCTCGATCTCCTGACCTCGTGATCTGCCCGCCTCGGCCTCCCAAAGTGCTGGGATCACAGGCGTGAGCCACTGCACCCGGCCTTATGTGTATGGTATTTCTAACTTAGGAAGTGCCACTTGAAAATTTCTCTTGTAATTTTCAAATGCCTGAAGTGTTTTAAAAAAGCAATGCACTTTTATGTCATGTCTAATTTCCCAGAGGGGGGGGTCTTCACTGAAGTGTGTTCATGAAGATAAGTTTCTTGTTGATGAAGCCTGTCTGGGACTATGCCAAAGAAGCAAAAATCATGAAACTATCACAGTAAAAGTATAACAGCTGCGACTCGTTGAAGGCAAACAAAGTTAATGCTATACACAAATGTTGTATGGTACTTAGTGGTTTTACCCTGATCACAATTGTAGATAATGGTCTATTTAAATCAACCTGTTTACTGATTAAGACACCCTTTTCAGATACCGTAATTTGTTAAAATTTATTACAGACTCATTTTTCAAAACCATTTCAAATAAACACACACATACTCCTCACCCCTTCCATCTGCATTCCTTTCTTACTCATGTAACATTCTTTTTGATGTAAGCAGGATTTGGTAAACAAAACAAGATTCAGACTCTAATATTCCTCAATGAATTCATAGGCAAAGACAACAAAGTACTTATCTCTAATATAGCAATGGGTGCCATGAGAATTTTAGACAATGCTATCTGAAAAACTAAGCTTGTTGCCCTCTTAAAACTAGTTTTTGGGCAGTATAGATACAACAATACAAAGAGGAAATGGAAATATGTGTTTTTAATCAAACAAAATGAAAATGACAACTTCATCTTTTTAAAACTGTTTTTTTCTTGGCATAGAAAAATCTATGACTCCTCTTCTTTTCAGCTTATAGATCATTTAAATACCAAAGAAAAAAATTCAAACAAAATGTTATTTTCAAATGCTATAATAAATACCATTGTAAATTTTTACTCCTGACATTTAATGAAAGTAAAAGAGTCTTATACTAATAAACCAGATAACAATGTGATGTAACAGATTGTCCTTCCTCCCCTCCTCTCCTCTCCTTTCCTTTTCTTTTTTCTCTGTATTTGGAATGCAAAGACTCCTCAAAAAGAGAAAGCAAAAAGAAATAATGAACTCTCCTTTTATTCAGATTGGGGAATGATACAAGTCTTCAATATGTTGGGTTTAATGAAATCCAGTAAAGAAATGTCATTAAAAAGATACACACCTTAACCATTTTAATTTAACTGAAAACCTACATTATGTCACCTCAATGACTCGTTGTTAGAGGGAATTACTCTGGGGCCTTTGGGTGTGAGTTCACCCAAAGACTTTTTTGAAGACTTATTTGAAGTCTGTAGTTCAATCCACCGGCCTTTTTATCAAACCATTTCCATATAGTATCACCTTCATTTTTCAGTTTTGGTTTCAAGTGCAGCGAAAACTAAAATCGCCAATGAATTTCAGTGAGTTCACCTTGGGCTTTATGAATCTCTGCAAATGTTTACAGTTGTCTAGGCCCACACATAAACTTATGGTTTTGTGTTTGTTTTGAGCCACTTGTCTTTCTAAAACTTTTACATTTGATTTTACCAGAAACTTTTTTCTGTCTCTGCTCATTTGAAAATGTACTTAGTACTTAATTAAACCATGTTATTACAGTAACAAGTATGACTTGCATATGCATTTTCAGGAATGAACAACTGACTCCCACACAGCATGTTAGGGAGCATATAGCAAATGAAGGATAGTGTCCTACAAGCTCCAACTTCCCCTTCATTAAGTTGTATCAGTCCCAATATTTTACAAAAAGAATGGTACATGTCCATGAGTCTGTAATCTTGGTTTAGGGGAGAGCAGTTAAATGAATTCTTAGTGTGAAATCGTAACTGCAATGTATTCAAGTAATTGACAAAAACAATTATTTTAAGAAGAAAGCACTTGTTAAGAAAGATATTTTAAATGTTTTAAAATCAATTGCTCTTATTTTTATTTTGCAGGTAATATGATATCAAAAGCAAGAAATAAAATCGATTGGCTTATTTAAATCTCTCCGTAGTTGATTTAGCTACATGTTAAAACTATTTATCTATTTCCTTTCTGCTTATCTTCAAACATATAACTGTTTTTCTGACATTACTTTAATGCACTAAGCCTTCCTTGGGATTTAAATGTCAAAGCACAGCTATATGCCATGCCAAAAGCAAATATAGTTTTCTTTTGTCCTAATACATGCAATGCATCAAAGAAGAATACAGCTGCTGTTGAATCTTAAAATGGCTAATTCAACTTTTTTCTTTTCCTTTATTTCTTAGGAGAGTTATCTCCTCTGGCATTTCACTACCTTTTTTTAAAAAAGAATATGTTTTTGTCACTCTAGTATTCTATTTGTACTTAAAATAAAATCACTTTGAAATCACTTCAGAGAGGCAACTGACTTGAACATGGGTTCGCCTGGGTATGTGATACTTTTAGGTCATTGAGCTGATGTTTTTGTGCTAGAAAGATGCCCATGGCTTAAATGTTTATGTATAAACAGGAAGCTCCTCCCTTCTAAAAGAAACCAAAGGAAGCTAAAGATCAAATGAAAGACTGGAGTTAGCATGGAAGGCCAATAAAGTTTAAATAAAGAGTCACACATCTAATATTATGAATAAGTCAGATTTAGCATGATGAAATGGGACTTCTCAGAAATTGCCAGTAGTTTCATTTATCAGAAACTAAGATAGAGCATAGCGATTTGCAACATAAAAATCAGTGGAATCCAATATGGGAAATAAACCGAGTTAAGGTGAAGGGACAAGATGAACGTATCTACCTGAAAGAATCACAATAGGATGACCCCATGAGAAAACTGACGTTTTTCTATATGTTTAAGTTGGGGATTAGGTTTTAGGACGCAAGAGCTTTTGTCCGAAGCACAGTCTCTAAAAGGAAATCCAGTTTCACTTATGAAAAATTGCTTGTTGGCTCAAGTTCTTTCAGAATTAGCTTCAGCCAACCTGTTCTTTGATTATTTGTAGTTTGATGGGATCACAGTCACAACGATGTCAGGATTGAGCAAATGTAGAGTTTTGAATAACGTGAATTTATCTGGGAGACTTTCTGCCCCCTTTACCTCTTATCAATAATTATCATGAATGAAAGTAAGGTATTTCCAGAAGCCTACAGTATGCGTAATGAAATAAGCACCTAATGGTAAAAGACAAAATATTTCCCAAAGTAAGAGAAATGCCTGCACAGTTTGACGCCAGCTTAAATGATGACATTAACATTTCTAAAGAAAAAAAGAGAAGGAGATGGTCAACCTGGAAATGTATGAAAAAAGGAGGTGTCCGACCTAGAGGGTAGCAGTTTGGAGTCAGCAAGATTCAGGTGAAAGAGAAAGGAAATCTGTCATAAAAACCATCACTAAAGAAACACTAATAAAATTTTTTTTTTCTTACTCTATGGCTGTCTTACCAGTGGATCAATGGTTATACAATTATCATATAAAGTAGGTTCTGGGATAATTCACCTCTAGAGTCTGGACTGAAACAGAAAATTAAGAAACATGTGGATTTAATTTTGGAAAAGTAGTCTAAAACCAAGTAGCTTTTGATTGGAAAAAGCTATATTTTTGAGAGCAAAACAGAGGCATTGTAAGTGTTAAGACATAAAAGCCAAACAACCATTAAAACAGTGTAGAGTCTGATCAATCACCCTCCCTTCGTCACCTCAGCATTCAGTCCCAGGAGGTACTGTCTGCTGGTTGGTGTGATCTTCAAGAAGTATTTGTTGACTGAATAAATCTCAACCCTAAGCCAAAAAAGAATCTGAGAGAAGTCTCAATCAATTTAGTTTATTTTGCTGAGGTTAAGGACATTCCCATGACACATCCTCAGGAAGATCTGAGGACATGTGGCCAAGGTGGTTGGGGTGTGACTTGGTTTTATACATTTTAGGGAGACATGAGACAACAGTCAATATATGTAAGATGTATGTTGGTTCCATCTGGAAAGGTGGGACAACTCAAAGCAGGGGCTCCCAGGTGATAGGTAGATTTAAATATTTTCCGATTGGCAATTGGTTGAAAGAGTTATTATTTAAAGACATGGAATTAATAGAAAGGAATGTCTGGGTTAGGATAAGCAGTCATGGGGACCCAACTTTGATCATCCAGATGAAGCCTCCAGGTAGCAGTCTTCAGAGAGAATGGATTGTAGATGTTTCTTATCAGACTTAAAGAGACTATTCTATCAGTCTTAAGGTCTCTGTGTTGATGTTTGTGAGGCATGTCTGACCTAAACTAGTTTTTTTTTTTTTTTTTTTCAGGATTATTTGGAATGTCTTTGGCTAAGGGGAGGGTTCATCAGTCAGTATGATGGCTTAGAATTTTATATTTGGTTTATACAGCAGAGACTTAGGAATCCTATGATGGCCTTTGAGGGTCTAATGTGTAGAGGGCCTCATGTCAGCCTGAGTGGCTGTGTAGAGCAGATAGGGAGGGATGGCATGCTGAAGTAAAGGGGGCGTAGCCTAAGGAAGCTGTCCCTAATGCCTAACCTCTCCCCAACAACACATATGCCATGATTTATTTCAGCTTTATGTAGTCTCCAAAAGATATAGAAATCACTGTGTGTCCCTATAGGGCCTATAAAATGCTTAGATGGCTGGTAGATCAGACGAAGGTATTAGGAGAAAGAAGACCTAGTGTGTATAGTCACCAACCATCCTAATTTACCCAGAACTGAGGGGTTTCTCCAGAAGCAGGACTCTCAATGCTAAAACCAAATGGGACTCAGACATGCTGGGAATAGCTGTCACCTTAAACACAGATCCCAGAACCTAAGTCCAGCAATACCCATGACATATCTGAAGGCCAGAAGGAGCAGTTGTCATGACAGTGGGTGGCAGGGACAGAAGTGGGACCCTGAAGGCCGACCAGGCTGGGGACTCTCAGGGAGCTCAGAGGGAACCTTGGTGGAGCAGGTGGGACAGATCCCACCCCTGTGGTGATAACGTATTGCATAAGCTGACTCTGACCCAAGCCATGCTAGGGCATCTAGAACTCTTGAAATGGTAGTACAACCACAAAAGGAAGTTTACCTTTGACTGAGATCAACTCCCATGTTGACCGAATATACACGGAAAGGAGGAGTGATTACAGTACCAAAATGTATGTGTTCAAGTATTTATCTTTTCTGCTACTGACTAGAAATAGGGAATTAGCGAATGAAGACAAATTTTAGAAAATGATAAATGTTACATGTTTTCTTCATCTAAGTTATGAACGCAAAATTTAAGCCTGCTTTTGTAGAAACTCATGACCTCTTTTGTTTTAGTCCATTTTCACGTTGCTATAACGAACTGCTTGAGACTGGATAATTTATAAAGAAAAGAGTTTTAATTGACTCACAGTCCCACACAGCTGGAGAGGCTTCAGGAAACTTATAATCATGGCAGAAGGCAAAGGGGAAGCAAGGCACATCTTACATGGCAGCAGGAGAGAGAGTGAGTGAAGGGGAAAGTGCCATACTTTTAAACTATCAGATCTCATGAGAACTCACTCACTATCATGAGAACGGTAAGGGGGAAATCCACCCCCATGATCCAATCACCTCCCACCAGTCCCCTTCCCTGATACATGGTGATTACAAATCAACTTGAGATTTGGGTGGGGATACAGAGCCAAACCATATCATCCTTCTTGACTGCTTTCATTCGCCTTTCCAACAGAGTCAATTTAGTTTTGAGATATTTTTCATGTATCTACCTAATCCTCATTTAAATGTTCTTATGAAAATTCATTTACTTATTCTTTTCTTTGAAAGAAAAAAATCAAACTGGATATTCTTGAAAATAAAGCATTGAATTAAAAAAAAACTGGGTCTGTGATTATGTACTTCATCCAAAAATATAATGAAGACTTAATTACTAACTCTGGAATAGGATCTAGTCTATTCATAATTTCTCAAGTGGTAATTTTGTAGGCTATGTTTAAGTTGGGCAATTTGCATTTCCTTTTCCGCTCTCTGTGTTATCTGGGATGTTTACTGATTTTGTTTCTAAATGTATTTTTTAATATATTTTCAATGGAGTTAGACAGGAAAGAGCAGAGGAGATTCTAATTCTAATGAGTCACTTTTTACTAGTGCTGGCTCTAACAATATGAATTTGCTTTGGCCTCTAAACAGCTATTTAGTCCCCAGATTTCAACCTCTAGGGGACATCACTAAAATGCAACTTAATACACTCCAAAAAGTATTATCTTTTCTTTCAAAGTCATTTCCATATTTAGGAATTTGTTCTTCTGTATTCTGGTAAAATGATGGTACTGGTTAATTTTAGAAGTGGGGACTAGGGAAAGGGCAGGTGCTTTTGGCTCCAAGAAAAATAAAACTTAATTCATAATTACTTAGATAAGTGATAGTTGATATTTTTCACATACAAGTTAGTATCAGTGGCTGCTCGATCTATGGTTTTCTTGACCCTACAGCTCTAGACATCAGTTCTACATTTTACCAAGGATGGTGGAGAGCAAGAGGGGCAACTGTATCAGGAGAACAAAAGCTTTCCCAAGAACACCACAGCTAACTTCTGCTTAGCTCTTAGCAGCCAGAACTGTGTCTCATCTCTGCTTCTGCCTAGCATAAAGTAAAAAACATTCCTCTGGCAGCTGAGCTGTGAAGAGTGCTCTTAGGACTGAAACAGAAACCACAGTTGCAAAATGGACTTCACTATTACTCACAAAACAGAAAAAAAAATTGTCAAACCAAGCATGATCACCACTTAATTAAGCTCAAAATATGTTAACATCAGCTTCTTCCTAACCATGTGTCCTGGCTACAACCACAGAAAAACAGGTCAAACAATAATTCTACAACAATTCACAAGTTCTGAGGCCAACTATCAGATCTGTTGTAGCGAGTCTCCGAGTTTAGGAATTCTAGCCAATACCAACAAGGACTGACTCACTCCATCCCCTAATACCCTCCCTGACTCTCCCTCAATGTCCGTCCCTCCCCAAGCACCCCCTCTCCCCAACTTTGAGATGCCCTATGGTTCTCCTTGTGATTCTCTCTTGAAGGAAGAAGTGAGTGGACCTAACTGTGGCTAAAGGAGTGTTTCTGAAGGTTTGGGCTCTCAGGTTTTCACACCTGGAAAGAGGCTGGAGAGAAAAAGATTGAGAATAAGAGTTGAGTCAGGCATCTTAAGATGTTTGCCACAAGCAGTCAATAATGCAAGGGTTCTAGAAATGAGTAAAAGAGAGTAACAATGCAAGAAGAAACAAAAATGTTATCTCTGGGTATTTTACCTTTCTCAGAGAATGTTTTGGAAACTGAAGGTTGATGACAATCCTCCTCTCTAAGAGCAGATTATCACTAAGGGAATCAAGCTAGCAGCTTCCATTGTTAGAGAGCAATTTCTGCCCATTATCCACCACCTCCCCTTCCAGTTCTATGATTGCTTATAAAATGTAACTAAAGACACCAAAGACCCTCAAGAGTTAAACAAAAGGGATTCTGTCAATCACAAAGGTTTATTGTGTAAACCTGCAGACACAGGCTTGTTACATACATATATCCAACTCTCTTCCTGACATTTCTACTTAGACGTCCAGTAGACATTTCAATTCATGTCCAACCTTGAATTTCTGACTTTTTCTTTAGCCCCTTTGACTAATTTTCTCTACAACTAGTCTTCCCAGTCTGAAGAGATGGCATCTCCTTTCTTCCTGCTGTTCTTAGCAAATCATTTGGATTTATCCCTATTTCCTCCATTTCTCTCATACCCCACATCTAATTTGTAAAGAAACCCTACTGACTCTGCCTCCAAAATATATTCAGAATTGGCCACATCTCACTACTTCTTGTGCTAGCACCCTGGTCTAGGGTACACGCGTCTCTCACCTGGATTATAATGGCATAATTTTAGTTAGCCTCCTGCTTCTACCTTTCTTGCTCCCACAGCCCAGATTCATCCTTTTAAGACGTGAGTACATCATGTTGCTCTATTTAGAACGCTGCAAATGGCTCCTGTATTCATTCAAAGTAAAAGCCACACCCTGACAATAACCTACAAGTCTGGAGGGCTTGTTCTGGCGTCTATTCCTTCAACTATTCTTGACCTCCCGAAACTTGCCACCATGGCTTCCATACTGATCCTGGATCATGCAAGTGCCTCTTTCGTTGCCTGTGCTCTCTGGGTCAAATGTTCTTTCCCTGCATTAGTACATTCAGTTACCTCTTTCAAGTCTTGCAGTAATATTATCTTTTCAACGGAGGCTTATCCTGGTCAACCTATTTAAACTACAACTCAACACCTTGATCTACTGACATGCCAGGCTTCCTTGTTTTGTTCTAGTATTTTTACCCATAAAATTTATTCCTTCTCACTTGCTAGATTATTTACTTTTTAATTAGAGTTTGTCATCTCTCCTTCCTCCCCTCCCTCTACCATGTCAGCTTAGAATTTTCAATAATCTTTATCTGTCCTGTTCAAGGATTTATTCCAAGTGCCTAGAATAGCATGACATCTAGTATGCACTCAGAAAATAAATACTGAATGCATAATTCTGTAGCTTGGCAAGCTTGCTTTTTCCTTGATTCAAAGCTGCGTTCAGAAAATAAGCACGTGAACAAAATAAGCCACATGCAAATCTACACACAAAGCAAAAAAAAAAAAAAAAAAAGTTCAAATCGTAGGGTATTCCAATACAACACACAGAAAAACACCTTCAGACAAATTGTTTCCCTAAGTTCTACTCATCAAATCATTGCAGCTGTGACTATTATCTCCAAACATTCTATAAAAGTCAGGCTTGTGTAGCTCTTTTATTTTTTTTACCCTATGTTCTCATTTATACTTTTTTTTTTCTCCCTCTCAAAAATAACTCTCAAATCGATCAAGCTGGAACTGGGAAGGAGAAAAGAAAAGCCACTGTAGGCTTCCTTTGGGAGAATTTGGGTAATCTGAAAAGAAAGTTGTAGATACGGGGCAGTTGCAAAGTCTCAGCGAGGAGAAAGAAGCAGAGATGTGCTAGGGGTGTATCATTAAAGGATTATCTGGATACATCACTGCTCTATGAGGACAGACTAAAACCACTGGTACTTTTACCTGGAAAGACACAGATTAAGGGTGATATCATCAATACACTCTTCAGTGGTTTAAGTAAAATAGTCCTGTCTCATACCTATGAAAGTACAACACTTCATGCTTAAGATTTTGAACTGGGAACATTTTAGGTGACTAAAGGAATCTGCTGTTTCACACATTGGTATTTAATGTACAGATGTTGTTGCCTTAAAAAAAAAGTGTAAGCTAAAAATAGGTCCCATAATGGGTTTAGAAAATGCGTGGAGATGTGTCACAGGTGGCTACTTCCCTGCAGCTAATCTTTTCATTTGTCATCCTAAAGAATAAGAAAGGTGTGAACTTTGTTCTTTTAGCTGCAGGAAACTTGGCAAGATGAATATTGGGCCTGACCTATTTTGGCAAAAAAAAAAAAAAATTTTGTGTATCTCTGTATCTGTGAAAAATTGAAACTTGTATTTTCTTTTCTATACCTTCCCTTGTGTTGGTCTCCCCACCAGGAGTATCACCTTCCATTTTATTAATTTACCAAAATCCCATTCATTCTTTTGGGACCAATTTAACTCCTGTCTCTATCAGAGTAAAACATTAATATCTCAACATATCACCCCTCTTTCTTTAGTAGCAAACAATTTATATATAATGCCTAGAAACACGATGTTTAGAGAGAAACAGCAACATATTACCTAGCCCTTTTACCAAGCTGAAAGAGGTAATGAAATTATTGTATCATCACAATTACTGACCTGAAAAAAAGAGTAGATACTAAAAAACTCCATAACTATTATGAAGAAAATATTTTTTTCTGTACAAAACAATATGTAGATAATTATCTAAAATCAGAACAAATGATCTTTAAAACATTCATCTCAGCTTTTCTGATTATTGCTGCTACTTGCTCTAGGCAGAAATAATAGCTGATACATTATTAATGGCTCAATAATTAGGAGTATATTTCCATTAAAATTGTTCACTATTCTATTTAAATATAAACTGTTTAGGCTACTAAGATCAGTACTTGCATACATGAATAGAAATAAGCAGTATACTATGTCATAAAGTCTTCTTATAAACATGTGAAGGCTTTATAGAAGTTCTATCTTACAGCCACCACAAACTGTAACTTACCATTCACACGAACGCCATCTTATTCAGATTTTATGAAAGCAAACTTACTTCAAAATAGATTATTTTATATGTTTGTAAAATTCATTTTTGAGTGACTTCTTAAAGTATTTCCTCTTGAATAAAATACATTTGTTAAAGACTTATGGTCTACATTTTGTTGTGGGTAGACTGAGATAGGATTAATATCTTAGTTCAAAATTTTAAAAAAATTTAAAGAACTTTCATCTTCCCTAAACACAAAATTAATAAAATGAGCTTTTAGGATAAGACAGTTCTTCCTCAAAAGACTTCAATATATCTTAGAAAATCATATAAATTCACTAGGTTAACTTCAAATCATATATAATTTGTTTACAGACAAAGCATCTCAAAATGAAACTTGTTCATAGTGGAATGACAGGCCCTATCTAGAAGTATATTAAGGTAGTGTATGCAGTATAATCATAATATTTCACAGAAAAGTTGCATCTTCCCACTGTGTGAGAATACAATTAAAGTTTTTATTAAAAATTTCTCCCCAGGTTTGCAAAACCAATAAAGATTTGATTTTTGTCATATTTTAATAGGTGTATTTTGTAAGCTGAACCAGTTACTCTAAATATTCTGCTTCATAAATACCCATCTTGCACACTGACACTTTTGTAATATTCCTTTTCTTTCAGAAGCGGGTTTTGGAAGGCACATGCTGAGGCCAAGTCATGATTGAGACAGAAAGAGAAGGCACATTTCTGCTGTAAACTAAAAATCAACTGTCAGAGTTTCTCTGCCACACTGCTGTTGCTTGCAAAACTACTTATTGAAGGCTCAGATTCTCTGATTGGAGACTGTTGAACAAATATAACACCACAGTGTGTTTTATCACATATATATATATATATGCTATATATATATATGATATATCTCATATATATTTATCATATATATGCTATATATACAATATATCTCATATATGCTATATATACATATATATGCTACATATATATGTATATATGTTATATATGATATATCTCATATAGCACATATAGGATATATCTCATATATAGCATATATATGCTATATATGATATACATGATAGATATATGATATATATATCCACATAAAAACATAAACATAATCACTGCTAATATCACAAGTATACTACAATACGTACTTTGAATGGTAATTTCCACCTTACCTGTTTTTAACTTTAATTTTCTTTTGGGATGTTTCACTGGTCTCACAACAGAAACACAGGTTTGGAAAGTTTGGACAACGTGAGGTAGGATGAAAAGATCATTTACCTGTCTATGATCGCACACATGTCAATGCTGACATTCGCGAAACTTCCCGGCTTCCTTTGTGCCACTTCGTATAAATTTACAAGTTGATCGTCCACTTGAATGAGCTGCATGCATCCTTGGAATGAAGGCTGAAGGACAGAGTGACTTGAGTTATTCATCTGGTTCAGAAAACCTGTGAAACAGAAGAAATGGGAATGTAAATCTGGTGTACAGTATAACCTTCACTAAAATTCTTGTGGGTATTCTACCTGGCCACAGCCATCACATCCAACTACTGTTTCTTTAATCCTTGCTGATGTTATATTCAGTGTAGAAAAAGGAAGTTTTTTGAGAAAGTGAGATTATTACAGAGGAAGAAGTCAGGGTTGAATTGTAATGGGTTACCAGGTAAATGTTTGCCTCTGGGGTCTACTGTCACTCAAATTTTCTCTTTTGACATCATCTTTCTCACTGTCACATCTTTCTGTCCCTCTGCTGTCAAAGACTCACTGTTATTCTTTCTCTGCTGAGCCAGCCCTCAGAGATTAGGACACAAAACTTTAGAACTTTCCCAACTATCCAACTTTCTTCTTCTTGTTTCTTTGATATTTATTTCTATTTTCTTAATTCCCTATTGCCTGTTATTCAGATGTCAAATAAGCCAAACTTACTATTATGAAATAAAGTAGATTAGTGTGTAACTCATTACAAAGAGATATTTGCATTATAGATGCCTTTTTTTAATTTATAAAATCTAAGGGAACATTAGAAGCAAATAAATTTAGGCATAAGGGTCAGCCACCCTACTTTGAATATACATCTTCTACAAACTATCTAATATGGTATAAATAAAATACCATAATATGGTATATATAAAATACCATAATATGGTATATATACTAGTAAATAATAACAGATAGAACTAAAATTAAAAGAGTAAATAACAAGAGTAAACACACACACACACACACACACACACACACACACACACACAATACTGTTGATTCTATTAGGAAATAGAATGCCCACACCAACCTTGAAATCAGACATTAAGAGTTTATTGCTAAATAACTTTAAGAGATCACCACCAATCAATTACTATTATATCTTTTTAAGAGAAACATGCATAATTGGATAGAAACACCCATTATGGATGGAAAATTTGTAGGCCATAAGAAAATGATATTTTTCAATCCCATTAAGTATCTCCAGAAAGTCCCCAGAGCTTCTACTTTTCATATGGTTCACCATACCAAATCTGCCTACTGGGCAAATTTAAACTGTACTAATTTGTCTGCTTGCAAATCTGAAGTTATTGACACATTCACTTCATCTAATATTATATCTGTAACAACAAACAATTTATATAAAATGGGATGGAACCAAAGTTCCATTAAATGGATAAAAGTGAATTTTCAATAAAAACAAAAAATGGCCATTATATTAGTCTGTTCTCATGTTGTTAAAAAAGACATGCCAAGACTGGGTAATTTATAAAGAAAAGAGGTTTAATTGACTCACAGTTGAGAATATCTGGGGAGGGCTCAGGAAACTTATAATCAGGGTAGAAAGGAAAGCAAGCACATCCTTCTTCACAGGGCAGCAGCAAGGAGAAGTGTCAGGCAAAGTGGGGAAAAAGACTCTTATAAAACCATCAGATCTCATGAGAACTCACTCACTATTATGAAATGATAGAATTACCTCCCAGTGGGTCTCTCCCATGACATACAGGGATTATGGGAACTACAATTCAAGATGAGATTTGGGTGGAGACACAGCCAAACCATACCAGTTATTAAGTGACATTTTCAAAATATCCTATTCTTTTTGACCAAGGATAGTATTTTAGTAGAGCAGAAATCTTCTTTTTCTCTTCATTAATGGATTACAATATTTAAAGTCCAATAACTGTCATTTGAATCTCCTATAAGGATTAATCACAAAGGTATATATTATTTCCTATTAACACAGTACTGTATAAAAATAAGATTGTATTTGAATTAACTTCTTGACTTAAAAAAAATCCATGTAAGGCTCTACTTTAATGTTAATATATGGCTCGTGTGTGTGTGTATGTGTATTTTCTAGTCAACCACATTTTTTTCATTCGCATTGACTTAGTCCCTTCAGAAAAATGCTGATATTAGGTAAATGATCTGTTTATACCAGTTGCGTGCACACATGATTTTCAATTGTTTAATCAAGATAAAATTGAATAGAGTGTAATGTCTAAACTTAGCAGAGAGAAAACACCCAGTTGTAACTTACTGACCACTCTTAAGAAGACTGTCATTTGTTTCTGTTTTTTTTTTTTTTTTGAATAATTGGGAGTCTCACCATATCCACACTAGCTTTGAAAGATTTCAAAATGAATGGATGTATGTGTGAAAATAAAAGCTGCTCTGAAGCACAGCAGCTGCATAAATACCGATTACTACAAATTGGGTATAATTAAGGTTGTAAAACAAGAATTCATCATTCGCTTATAACAATGTTCTGTTTGATCTTGGTAATTTTGAAGTTTGAAGTGGTTAAGTCCTTTTATTTTCCAATAGGAGATATATTCTAGGAGAAGATAATTATAGGACAAAATACTACATATTCATTAATTTTTTTCTCTCCATAATATTCCAAGATGGACATCGTTAATCTTTGGCTCCTGACTTCACACCCTTTTGTTGTCCCCTTCTATAATCAATTAGGCCTGACTTCTGTGAACAATAGAAAACTCTGCAACTTGGTCTCTGAGATCACTTACTTCGTGGCAAGTCATCACCATGTCATACACTGTCTTCTGGAGTGGCCCAGGAGAGGTAATGAATATTCATCATTGTTTGAAATTAATTTTAAGGTGACACATAATGCAACAATAGATATCAAATAAAGAATGTGATGTCTGGACATGCCATCCAGGTTGCTGTAAATGCCATTAATTCACTACTTTTTATGGCTGAGTAGTATTCCATTGTATATATACCATAGTTTATCCACTCGTTGATTGATGAGCATTTGAGCTGGTTCCACATTTTTGCAATTGTGAATTGTGCTGCCATGAATATGTGGCTTTTTTATACATATACACAATGGAATACTACTCAGTCATAAAATTAAATGAATTAATGGCATTCACAGCAATCCAGATGGGACTAGAGACTATTATCCTAAGTGAAGTAACTCAGGAATAGAAAACCAAACATCGTATGTTCTCACTCATAAGTGGGAGTTAAGCTATGAGAATGCAAAGGCATAAAAATGATACAATGGACTTTGCGGACTCAGGGAAGAAAGGTGGGAGAGGGGTGAAGGATAAAAGACAAATTGGGTTCAGTGTATACCGCTAAGGTGATGGGTGCACCAAAATCTCATAAATCACCACGAAAGAACTTACTCATGTAGCCAAATACCACCTGTTCCCCCAAAAACCTATGGAAATAAAAATTAAAAATAAAATAAAATAGAATAAAATACTTTAGTACCAAAAAAAAAAAGAATTTGATACTGGCAGAGAATTATAACAGAAACCTGAAAATGTGGCAGTAATTTAGGGACAGGAATATGCAAGTTAGCGGGACAGGCCTTAAAAGAAGCGTGATGGCTCTTGAGGAGCTGTAATGACTTAAAGGAAGGTGAGAAAAGTGTCATCAGAAATTAGAGAAAATTAGATCTTTGCTATGTTCTGGTGGAAAGTTTAGCAACATTGTTTCTTGTGATAATATGGAAAAGAAAAAGATACAGTTAAATGAAATTGTATAATCTAGCTAAGGACATTTCCAGGTAGAGTATTGAAGGAGCCATCGGGCATCTTCTGTTTATAGTAAAAGAAAAAGAAAATGGGAGAGAAAAAGCTAAAGAAGAACTATTACAAATGAAGAAGCCAGGCATTACTGAATTTTAAAGTAAAATGCTCTTTCAATTCCAATCTCTCCAGATGGTGAACAATGCAAACATTAAGAAATCACATTTCTAAGCAAAGATCAAATTCCAGGAAAACATGATCTAAGGATGACAAGGAAGCGTGACTATAAAATCTACATAAAGACCCAAGAAAATTATTAGGTATTCCTCAGGGAGACACTCCATGAGACAGAAGACCCTCTAAAGAGCTTATTTTTATGCTTTACAGGTCTTTTCAGTTAAACAATAGGGATTCTAATTATCTTAAAAGCATTTTCCTTCTGTAGATCTACAGAAGCTCAAGGGGTAAGGGGGAGCTTATCTTTATATAATTGTGGATGTGCCTTTTATTAAGTGGAGTAAACCTGAATAAAATTCATAGAAAACCCATTCATTTTTAAGATAACTATATTGGAGGTAACACCACCAGCTTGTACTGAAAGGGACAGAGTTGGGACAAAATAGAAACAGGCCTTTGACTTCCAAACTTTATGGTCAGGAGTCTATGCAGCTGTAAACATAGACAACCTCTATATACATAAAAAAAGGATGACTTACAGTGGCAGAACTAACACAGAGGGCAGAGCCAAGAGCCATGGAGAATCATGTCCGGGAAACAGCATGACTGAGTTCTAATCAAGAATGACCAGCATGTGCCTGACTGGATTGCAAAACTGCTGTGGACCAGTGACTTGTCTCTCTTATTTTCTCCACTTTTGAACCAGAGAGTCTAATTTGGTTTCTCTGTGCATAATCTACCATTGTATATGTGGTGTGAGGATGGCACAAAACTTGTTTACAGGTCTTAAGATTGACAACTGTACTTGGGAAGTGGTACTTGAGTGACTATACCTAAACAGCTTCATTTTCTCTTGGACTCTCTGAGATTCATTTTGGATTGACTTGACTTAGACAATGAGGTCCTGGAATTTGAGCAGATGGCCTAGTGGAATGAGACTTTGGATGGCTTTTAGAGGAGGTTGGGTGTACTTCGTGTGTGGAAAAAGATATGTATCTCTGTGGGCTGTAGGGTGAACACCGGCAATCAATCTCCAAGATGGCCATAAATCTTCACATTATAATTATGTTATTTTAAATACCTCCTAATATTTACGGCCTGTATAGTTCCCTCCCACACAATCAGTGCTGCTCCGTGTGACACAGAATGTTGCAGTAGTAACAAGGTGATATGATTTCCAAGGTTAAGTATAAAGGCATTAGAGGCTGCACCTTGGTCTTTTGATCCCTTACTCCAGGGAAGCCAGCCTAAAAGCCATGGAAACCCTCAAGTAGTAAGATGGAGAGGCACCTAGGAGGAGAACTAAAGCCTATTACCAAGTTCCAGCAGCAGCTTGCTAGCCATGTGAGTCTGCTATCTTGAAATGGAGCCTCTAATCCTAGTCAAGTCATCAGCTGATTGTGGCTCTAGGAAACATGTATCTGCAGCCTTATAAGAAATATCAAGTCAGAACTGCCCAGCCAAGCTGCTCCTAAATTACTGGCCTCTTACAGAAAAGTAAGAGATAATAAATTATTACTACATTGAGCCACTGAGTTTTGAGGCAATGCACTATGCAGCAATATATAACTAATACAAAGTATAACAAACACATCCTGCTATTATAATCTCAAATCAGTTTTAATAATTAGAACCTGAAGATTACTCACACCTGTGAAACATTATGTAACTGGTGGAATATTGACAGTTCCCTTAGTCAACAATGAGCTAAAGATGTTGGATCTCTGATACTGAACCTCCTGCTGTTTTAACTCCCTTAGAAACAGAGGAGAACCTATTATTTATTTTCTGTGTTTGTTCTCTTTATGAACAAATGAAATTTCAGTAAAAATACTAGTGTATTAGTGTTTGTGATACCTTCAGTGACTACTCCAAAGCTCAGGATTTAACCTACTTAGATTAACAGTGGGATTTTTTGGTAATATAAATTTGCAGCTGGCATTTTGAGGGTCAGAAATGAATAGCTATAAAATGGAAATAAAGTGAATGTAACGAATTGTCAAGTTAGTAAAAATATAAAGTTAAAATTTTTGCGTATTTTTGTTATATCTTTGAATTTCTATGAATTTGGAATAAAAAATACAATGTCTATACATGGGTCATTGTAACTGGTTTCTACAATCTGACAATGTGTTAAAACACCCACAGTGAATTGTAATCTTGTCAGTCTCAATTGCATCTTACTTTCCATGCACTGGAAACCTTTCTTCTTTCCAGGAACATTGTAATTATATTACTTCACTGGCATGTCTGAAATTTCTGTTTCAAGACTTGCATATAAAAACTTCATACTTGATTTGAAGTCCACTCAGTATATTGCTATTCTTGCTGACAAAGAAAACACAAGCATTTTCAAGGTTTTAAAATTTTAATTCAGAAATACATCAGTGAAAAACTTGCTGATATTTGTTTTGACATTAAAATGGCAACCTAAATTGTTGTAAGTTATAATGTTCATCTGATGGGACAGAAAAAGCAAACGGTGGACAACAAGGTTGAAAAATTGACATGTTTAAAACCAAGTGCATATAAAGCTTCTCTCTGCCTTTTTTAAAGTTGGGAAGGTTGGGAGGTCCAAGGGAGGCTGGTGGAATGCTTTAAGGATGTTTAAAACCACCTACTGTCTTCCTTTCAATTTGATCTTGGCAGATTGCACAAAATATCTACTAGTCTCTACTGTTTACTCAACCTTCCTGAATAACAAAATGTCTACTAATCTCTACTGTTTACTCAACCTTCCTGAATAACTTAGTCAAAAACCCATTGAGCAGGGGCAGGAAAACAGCCTCATAAAAACTAGGGTCCCAGCAGGCAGGAAGATAGAGTAGTCCAGGGGAAGAGAGTCTAGTGGTGTCCAGGACCTGTGCACAGAGGATGTCCACACAGGATCTCCACCCCATGTGGCTGGGAGATTGGTTACAGTACAGGTTGATTGGGCAAATAAGTAAATACATGGAGGATAGTGAGAGTCAAATTCCCAACGTCAAAGAAAGAGGGTACACATATGAAACATAAGAAAGAATGTTCACGCCTGTAATCTCAGCACTTTGGGATGCTGAGGTGGGCAGATCACGAAGTTAGGAGTTTGAGACCAGCTTCGCCAACATGGTGAAACTCCATCTCTACTAAAGATACAAAAACTTAGCCAAGTGTGGTGGTGTGCACCTGTAATCCCAGCTACTTGGGAGACTGAGGCAGGAGAAACGCTTGAACTTGGGAGGTGGAGGTTGCAGTGAGCCAAGATTGCGCCATTGCACTCCAGCCTGGGTTACAGGGCGAGACTCCATCTCAAAAAAGAAAAGAAAAAAAAAGACAGAATGAACCCAGTGGGTTTGCATTAGGATTTAATCAATTAGTGTAAATTTGTGGTTTTCACTATATGTAGATAGATACAGAAATAAGTATGAATGAAATTGTATATTTGGTCAATATACAGATGGTTCCTATCATCCACTGAAGACAGCCTACGTACAGGGTCACTCTCAAAGCAATGAATAGTTCTGTTTCCCAGATCCTGGTTTCTATGCTGGGCAAAACCAAGACTCCTTGGAGAAATGACTGATTCTAAGCTGTGTTAGGGAAAGTACAGTAAGAATCTGGAACATTTTGCCACACCAAAAAGTAATGAAGTGCCCAAAGAATGATGGGGTCATGTCAGAATGACACAGGAGCCAGCCTGAAATGGCATCTGCTCCTCAAATTAAGGGCAATTTGCATACAAAATAAATAATTTGAGTATCAAAAAGAGATTTTGAATATCAAAATAAAAAAGGGAGGAGAAAAAAAGAGGAAGCTACAGATCATATCCTACTGAATAAAGTAGGAATCCAAGAGTCTGCCTGTCTAAAAGTGAATAAATACACAGGGAAAATAGAAAGCTCCTCCAATAGCACTACACTAAGTAATACATGTAACAGGAATGTAGGAAGAAGAAAGTCACCATTTGGAAACCATCATGTTAATAATTAATTCAGGCAAGGCATATCAATAGGTGCTCAAATAAGTGGGTGAAAGTTGGAAGCAGAACATAGCCTCAAACTATCTCCTTAAAAATATAGTTTTTTAAAAAACTCATAAACCACCCCCATCTAATGAACGAGACCTACTATATGATAGCACAATAGGGTAAATACAGTCAATAATAATCGTATATTTTAAAATAACAAACAATGTAATTGGATTGTTTGTAACTCACAGGATAAATGTTTGAGATGGATACCCCAATCCCCATTATTGAATGCTTGTATCAAAACCTCTTATGTACCTCATAAATATATACACCAAGTACCCCAATTTTAAAAATATATATGTTTATTAATTTCAAAGGGGAGAGCAGTCACTTTACATTGGAGAAACCAGGCAGATACCTTTATAATCAAGTGATCAATGTTATCACCATGAGTAACAGGACCAATTGATACTGGGGGGCCACCTGATGAGATTCAATGAGAAGAATAAAGCATGGTGTGTAAGACACCTGTCAAAAATACAAGGCTGGGTATAACATCAAACTAATCCAATTTCAGGACAAGCGACAAATGACTGGGATAGAATATTCAAGAATGAGAAGGTTGTGAAAGTGAAGAAATTACTAAAGTGAAGATATAATTATGATTGTTAGAGACTGGAGAATCAGAAAAACAGGGTGTGACATGTGATCCCAGAGTGGGTCCTTTTGCTGTAAAGGACTGATATGGTTTGGCTGTGTGCCCATCCAACTCTCATCTTGAATTGTAACTCCCACAATTTCCATGTGTCATGGGACAAACCGAGTGGGAGGTAATTGAGTCATGGGGGTGGGTCTTTCCTGTGCTATTCCCGTGATGGTGAATACGTCTCACGAGATCTGATGGTTTTAAAAATGGGAGTTTCCCTGCACAAGTTCTCTCTCTTTGCCTGCCACCATCCACATAAGATGTGACTTGCTCCTCCTTGCCTTCCACCATGATTGTGAGACTTACCTAGCCACATGGAACTGTAAGTCCATTAAACCTCTTTCTTTGGTAAATTGCCCAGTCTCGAGTATGTTTTTATCAGCAGCATGAAAATAGACTAATACAGTAAACTGGTACCAGTAGAGTGAGGTGCTGCTGAAAAGAATCCTGAAAATGTGGAAGCAACATTGGAACTGGTGACGGCAGAGGTTGGAACAGTTTGGAGGGCTCAGAAGAAGATAGGAAAATGTGGGAAAGTTCGGAACTCCTTAGAGACTTGTTGAATGGCTTTGACCAAAATGTTGATAATGATATGGACAATGAAATCCAGGCTGAGGTGGTCTCAGATGGAGATGAGGAACTTGCTGGGAACTGGAGCAAAGGTGACTCTTGTTATGTTTTAGCAGAGACGGGTGGCATTTTGCCCCTGCCCTAGAGATTTGTGAAACTTCGAACTTCAGATAGGTGATTTAGGGTATCTGGCAGAAGCAATTTCTAAGCAGAAAAGCATTTGAGGGGTGAATGCGTGCTGTTAAAGGCATTCAGCTTTTAAAGGGAAACGGAGCATAAAAGTTTGGAAAATTTACAACCTGACAATGTGATAGAAAAGAAAATCCCATTTTCTTAGGAGATACTCAAGCCTGCTACAGAAATTTGCATAAGTAACAAGGATCCAAATGTTAATCATCAAGACAATGGGGAAAATGTCTCCAGGGCATGTCAGAACTTTGCGGCAGCCCCTCCCATCACAGGCCTGGAGGTTTAGGGAGGAAAAAATCATTTCATGGGTCGGGCTCAGGGTCCCTCTGCTATGTGCAGTCTAGAGACTTGGTGCCCTGTGTCCCAGTCCCTTCAGCTGTGACTAAAAGGGGGCAAGATACAGCTTGGACTGCTGCTTTAGAGAACAGAAGCCCCAAGTCTTGGCAGCTTCCATGTGGTATTGAGCCTGTGGGTGCACATAAGTCAATAATTGAGGTTTGGGAACCTCCACCTGGATTTCAGAGGATGTATGGAAATGCATGGATGCCCAGGCAGATGTTTGCTGCAGAGATGGGACCCTCATGAAGAGCCTCTGCTAGGGCAGTGCAGAAGGGAAATGTGGGGTCAGAGGCCCCACACAGAGTCTCTACTGGGGCACTGCCTAGTGGAGCTGTGAGAGGAGGGCCACCATCCTCCAGACTCCAGAATGGTAGATCCACCTACAGCTTGCACTGTGTGCCTGGAAAGGCCACAGACTCAACACCAGCTCTTGAAAGCAGCCAGGAAGGGGGCTATACCTTGCAAAGCCACAGGGGCAGAGCTGCCCAAGGCCATGGGGGCCCACCTCTTGCATCTGCATGACCTGGATATGAGACATGAAGTCAAAGGACACATTTTGGAGCTTTAAGATTTGACTGCCTTGCTGGATTTTGGACTTGCATGGGGACTTTAGCCCCTTTATTTTGACAATTTCTCTTATTTGGAACAGCTCTAGTAACCCAATGCCTGTACGCCCATTGTGTCTAGGAAGTAACTAACTTGCTTTTGATTTTACAGGCTCATGAGCAGAAAGGACTTGCCTTGTCTCAGATGAGACGTTGGACTATGGACTTTTGAGTTAATGCTGAAATGAGTTAAGACTTTGGGGGACTGTTGGGAAGGCATGATTGGTTTTGAAATGTGATGTCATGAGATTTGGAAGGGGCCAGACAAGGAATGATATGGTTTGGCTGTGTCCCCACCCAACTCTCACTTTGAATTGTAACTCCCACACTTCCCACGAGTCAGGGAAGGAATCTGGTGGGAGGTAATTGAATCTTGGGCATGGGTCTTTCCTGTGCTGTTCTCATGATAGTGAATAAGTCTCATGAGATCTGATGGTTTTAAAAATGGGAGTTTCCCTGCACAAGTTCTCTCTCTTTTCCTGCCACCATCCATGTAAGATGTGACTTGCTCCTCCTTTCCTTCCACCATGATTGTGAGACTTCCCCAGCCATGTGGAACTGTAAGTCCATTAAACCTCTTTCTTTTGTAAATTGCTCAGTCATGAATATGTCTTTATCAGCAGTGTGAAAAGAGACTAATACAAGGACATTTTCAAACAAGTAACAAACGTTGAAGGAGGTCTCTGGGTGAAGGGTACAGTAGTGGCCTTTTTATCCTTCTTGCAATTTTTTTGGTAAGTTTTAAATTGTTTCAAAATAAAAACTATTTGTATAAAATGTTATGTTCCAACTGAAATGGCACTTAACGCTAAAAATTCTGTCATCCAAGAGCTCTAATTTGGATTACATTTATTCCACCTTGTTATGCATTCAACCTCTATGGATTATTGATGAGATTGCTCTTCATAGTGTCTGATAATTTTCAGGCCACTAAAGAACATTTTCAGTCTTTCTCTTACTAGACCTGTCAGTAGCATTTTACACTTGATCCTCATATATGTATTCTATATGATCAAACCAGGGTGACTTCTGTGGCTTTCAAAGACTCTGAATATTCTGACTCCTGACTCTCACTGCAAGGTAAATTCACATCTCTTTTAGGCAGATTTAGGCATAGAGAGATCCCTAACCCTAAAAATCGTAGGATACATTCACCCACTTAGAGCATCCCTCTTCTGAAATTTACAAATTAAAACAATATGAATTAAACCATTAAATATGTGTAAGAAAATTATACATGAGTTTCACTTTTTCTGTAATATATACTTTACTCTTCAAGGAAATCTATCATATTTAGCAATAGTTCTGCCATGTTATTGTGTGGCTACTTTGCTAGTTTTCAGAGTGAATACTTAAGATGTCTATCCTTGGTCACCATGTTTCAGCCATACTCTTCTCTATGCATCTCAGGAAAACCAAACCCTTTCTTCCTATTTTTCTCACTTGTACTTTTCATGGCTGAGTTATCCATATGATTCAGGTCAGTTCAAATGTCACCTTCCAAGAGGCCCTCCCAGACCAGTCAATTTAAAATTTTTCTATAAATTTTTTTCATTTTAGATCTTCAACTACTAATTTCTTCTTACAGAATTTGTCACAATTTATAATTATCTGCATTGGTTTATTTAGTTACATATGTGTGTGTTGGGGGGGCTGTGTTTGTGTGTATGCACTTCTGAATATGGTATTTTCTTTTTCTAGTATATTCATTTTATGAATCAATGATTCATAAACGATTTTTATTTTTTTACTTTAAGTTCTGGGATACATGTGCAGAACATGCAGGTTTGCTATATAGGTACACATGTGCCATGGTGGTTTGCTGCACCAATCAATCCATCATCTAGGTTTTAAGCCCCACATGTATTAGGTATTTGTCTTAATGCTCTCCCCTCCCCTTGCTCCCCACCCCGACAGGCCCCGGTGCGTGGTGTTCCCCTCCCTGTGTCCATGTGTTCTCATTGTTCAACTCCCACTTATGAGTGAGAACGTGTGGTGTTTGGGTTTCTGTTCCTACTATAAAGACATATGCACATGTACGTTTATTGCAGCACTATGTATCTTTTTAAAAATATTTGTTGACACAAAATTCACAAACCTTAAAAATCACCACCTTACTTATCTAAAACAATCCATATGATATCAGAGAGAAGATCAAGATACAAGGTATTTATTAAGTCTGAAAATAGTGATAAAAATATCTTCTTTAAAACATAATATATATTGGTTTCCAGACTTATAGACCGCTCTGTATTTGTTAGGTGAATGATCACTTGAATGAATGCATTAATTTTTATGAAGAAAAATGTATTGAGTAAGGCGGATACAGAGCCAGGAGAGAGGAAAGATATTAAACTGCCGGTCAGAGACCTTTCTGATAAGAGAACTGACACCAAGACCTAAAGGAAGTGAAGATGTAATATTAAGTATCACTTTTTTTCTAGGATAAAAATAGTGTTGGCAATTTCAATCCTGTTTATATTTATTAAGCACCTAAACTATATTGCTTTTGTCCTCAGGAATGCTATAATCTCATTAGGAAGATAAACTACAGAAAGAGTAATATAATAGGATTAAAAACAATGTTACTGCCCATTCATATGAGTAGATAAACTGGCAGTATTAAAAAGTTTGAGAAGGTGCCACTCTCTTCTTGATAATTTATCTTTCTTTGGCTGACAATGTACTACATCATTCGAGGTTTTCCTTCTACTTTTCTGACAATCACATTTCAACCTCCTGTACTGACTTCTTGTCTCTTACCTCGTCTGTAAGTGAGAGAGTTCCTAAAGCTTGTCCTAGGCTACTTCTGTTTTCTTGGCAGATTCTCCTTAATAAAGACCTTATCCAAAGCCATTGCTTCAACTACCAACTATGGGAGGATGTCTCTAATCATATCTCTGTCTCAGCTCTCTCCTCTGAACTCAACACTAATATATCCAAAGTTTAGTTTGACTCCTCCATTTTAATATTGCACTCATGTTCAAAACTCAAGATATTGCTGGTATTCTGTCATTGTCTCTATATCACTGGTCACTCAAAAAGTCTTAGCTTCAGTTTATCAATAAGTTTGTGCATATTAATCAATCAAGAGTTGATCCTGGCACTTCCATCCTCACTCTGCAAAATGCACAATCATATCATATTAATTCTACCTGTTGAATAGCCCTCTTTCTCTTCGTTCCCACCTGAGCCCAGACTACCACAGATTTTCTACTGTCCACTTCCAATTTGTTTCTGGCTTGAAGTTTGAGGTGTCTCTATCAAAAATATTAATCTGATCCTGTTATGCTCCTGTTCAAGAGCCTTTTATTTATTTAATAAAACAAACTCAGGAATTTTGAAAATGCCCAGGATCTTTTTTTTCCCTCTAATGATCTGGTTTTCCAAATGCAAAATATGTTTGTAGTGATTTACAAATTATTATGCCATATATAAACAAGAAAATACTTATTTTTAAAAGTGATGTTTATTAGATTAATTGATTTAATGAAAATTAATTTGGTATAATTTATTGGACCATTTAGAGTAGCCATATTATTTTAAATTATACTTTAGCTAGAATATTTCATAATATTTAAGGTTTAGAATGTTATTTTTATACATGGATATTTATAATAACTATATTGTGTTAGTTGTAGCAACTGTTTTTTAATAGTATTTGTGGGTTTCCCATCTTATTTTCATATAATACTCATTATATATAAAATATGTTTATACTAAAGTTGGTTTAACATTAAAAGATAGTGATATTTTTGAGTATCTTTTAATAAGCGTAAAGAGATTTACAAGAACGTAAAATTGAAAAGAAATTAGAGAAGCAGACTAGTATGTTGACAAACTAGGATACTTAGCAATTTGCAAATCAAATTATACAAAATGATTTAAAAAGCCATCGTTGCCTAGGGGCCACAATAAAAGGATGAACAAACTGAATAATTTGACACTTTCATATATTTTTTACATAGTCTTTTTCATGACCTAGTTGTGTATTGATAAATAGAGAAAATGCAAATATAAAATAAATAATTTTTACATCAGATAACTTTAATTCCTTATATCCACAAACTGCTAGTATATCTAAAACATCGGCAGATACAGTCATAACATAAAATAATATTGTCTTACTGATTTTTTCTTATAAGTGTAAACATTTGCTTAATTACTATGAAATTATACAATATTCTGAAAAATACAATGCCGGTGGTTGGAAGCTTGGGCTGCAGAATAGCCAGAACTGGTTTAAGATGTATTTGTGTGACCCTGACTAACTCACTCATCCTGTCTTAACGCCAGTGTTTTCATTTGTAAGGCAGGAATTAATAATACCCAATTCCTATGGTTTTTGTAAACTGTTAAATAAAACACTGTATTAAAAGCCCCTAGTACAGTGACTGACACCCAGCAGCTGCTCAATCAGCTCTGCCAGTGTCATTTAGTGTTTGCTTGAATTAGACAGCTTTGAGGGAGTAGCGTGCAAGTTTCTCACGTTTAAAAATATTTTGTATTTGAGAGATTCGTTTTTCACTCTATTTAAAAAACAAAAAAAAACCCAGAAAATAATTTCTTAGTCTCGTCTATATTGTCATTTTGAAAGTCTATATATTTTCCAAATACTTTCATATGGGGGATGGCTCTGCTATTAAAAAAATTAGTATCATTGCAGATGGAAAAGTAAAATATGGATATAAACTAGACTCACAATTATCTGCATTAAGATGATAGGGACAATCCCAACTAGTAGGAAATCAAACACAGTTTTATTTAGCTTTGGAATGCTTCTATATATGACTATATATTTTGGTATTCTGTTAATTTGATATTAACTTCAAATCAATAGCAAAGCCAGATTGTGAGGCTCTATCTCAGGAGTTGCTTTGAAATTGGCGAGCCAAGAAATGCTTTGTGTAGCGTGGGCTCTTGCCTTTGTCACCTTAACATTTTTCTGCCTTTTTTTTGGCTTTGATGCTTAGGAGTGTGCTTGGCCTAAAATAGGAGCCTGTGACTGCCATTCTTCCTCCTGCTTCTTCTTTTCTTTGTTGTTATGGTGTTTGTTATTGTTTGTATTATTATTATTCCTCTTGATATAATCTTTAGAAGCTTTTCAATTTTCTGCACTTGGTATAAATAAGATGGTTTTACATGTTATACAAATGTCTTCATGTTTATTGATGAAGCGTGATGCTAGAATGTAAATGCAGAATGCTACAAGAGCACCTCCAAATTTCATTCATAACAAAACCCTTCAATAAAAATCAGGGTTTTTTTTTCAAGATTATAATGTCTATTCTGAGATATTTTAAAACATGGCTTTTTGTATCTGAAAACATTTCTAAAATATTAACTGCACCCCAAAAGTTTATAACATAAATTTTCTGATATAAGATAATTTATTTAAAATACTTAACATTCTGTAATGTCACATCACATAATAGGAAACAGAAACAATAATCTCTAAGGATTACATTTCCTAGGACGAGGCAACATGGGAGCCTGAAAATTTTCCAGTTTCAAACACCTAGAAATGCTAAATAAAATGTAACATACATCTTTTAAGTTATATATCTGAGCATCCAGTAAAATAGGAGAAGCTTTTGGGTATCAAGAAAAAAAGAGAACACTGAAATTCAGGGTGTTAGCTGATGGTGGGCTATAGTAGTCAGAGGGTATTTACTAATCTTTACAATGCAGAATTTTGGATTTCAAGGCCAAACAGAATTAGAAATCAAGTAATAGACCTGTGCAAAGAATAGGAACTCCCTCACGCCCCTAGCCCCACCACATAAAACCTAAAAATGCTAAATTCACAGTAAAGCAGACACTGGAGAAAAATTAACTAGTCAGCAAAGAGGGATGACAAGGAAATTTGTCTGTATTTTATCTTTTTCCAAAAAAAATGATGATTCTTGAGAATGCATAAGCCATAAACTTGCTGAATTAAATTACAGCTTTTGAATTTACACTGACTATTGGATATAACCCCCAAATCAAGAACTTAAAATAGAAAAAATGGTTCCAAGCTGGTATCTTTTGAAATAAAGTGTAACCCCTCTCTGGATTCACTCTGGAATTATAGGATTACTAATGACAAAGCCCTGAAAAATTTAAACTCACAATCCAAAAATATAAAACTCAAGAAAACAAGTATAATGAACAGAATTCAGCAGAAACACCGCATGGAATATTTGGCCCCCATGAATTCAATTTCAGCTAAATTTGGGGATTGAGAAATAAAACATTCATAAATTATTTGAAGTAAAATGAGAATTAAATATACAAGAAAAGAATAAGATATACTGTAATAGGCTGTTCTCATACTGCTAATACAGACATAGGCAAGACTGGTAATTTATAAAGGAAAGAGGTTTGACTCACTGTTCTGCAGTGCTGGGGAGGCCTCAGGAAACTTATAATCATGGCGGAAGGGGAAGCAAACACACCCTTCTTCACATGGAGGCAGCAAGAAGTACAGAGCAAAGGTGAGGGAAAGTCCCTTATAACCATCAGATGTCGTGAGAACTCACTCACTATTGTGAGAATAGCATGGGGGGAACTGCTGCCATGATTCAATTATCTCTCACTGGGTCCCTCCCACGACATGTAGGGATTATGGGAACTACAATTCAAGATGAGATTTGGGTGGGAACACAGCCAAACCATATCAAATAATACTTAAAAATTACCAGTCATTGTTGATAAGGAAATAAATGGATACTCCAGGAATTAAAAATATATTATTGGAATTAAAAACGCATTAGTTATGAACATTCTAACTGGACTCTTTCAGTTATTTTTAAATGTAAAATAAAATATTGTTGGCTTTAGTTACCTTGTTGTACTATCAAACATTAAATCTTACACATTCTATCCAACTGTATTTTTGTAACCGTTAACTGTCACCATTTCCCACCTTACCCACTATCCTTCCCAGCCTTTGATAACCATCATTCAACTATCTCCAGGAGTTCAGTTATTTTAATTTTTAGCTCCCACAAATGAGTGAGAACGCACATAGTTTGTCTTTCTGTGCCTGGTTTACTTCACTTAACATAATGTCCTTCAGTTCTATCTATGTAGTTGCAAATGACAAGATCTCATTCTTTTATATGGCTGAATAGTACTCTGTTGTGTATACGATGAATTCTTTAGGTGATGGATACCCCATTTACCCTGATATAATTATTAGACATTCTTATGTAGCCCATAAATATATAGACCTATTATATACCAATATAAGTTAAATTTTTTTAAAGAAAAAAACCTCTCATTAGTTGCATTAAGCAGATGAGACAAAGCTACAGAGTGAGTTTGTAAACTGAAAGGTAGATTGAATATCGACAATGTCATTCAGAAATTTAAAAAAACTTAGAAACATTAAATATAAATTCTACAATATACAGTATAAAAATGAGTTCTAACGTATTAGGTTGGTGCAAAAGTAATAGTGGTTTTTGCCATTAAAAGTAATGACAAAAACTGTAATTACTTTTGGAACAATATTAATAGAATTTCAGAGGAGAGAAAAGGGAGAATGATGGAGAATCAATTAAAATACGTAACATCTAAGAATTTTCCAGAACATTTAAAAATTCAGATTCAGAAAGGACAATACATCCCAATTAAACATTTTTATAAAGGTAATCTAGCACTAAACACAGCATGCTATAACAGCACATTACCACGGAACATAAAAGTAGCAAGGGAGAAAAGAGAGAGTATCCCTAAGGAACAATTTTAAAACAGTCAGGAAGCTTCTTAAGAAAAGTGAAAACAAAAGGTAGAATTTAGTAGGATAATATACTCAAAGTACTGAGAGAAACTAAACTTTCAACATAGACTTGTATACCAAGCTAAATAAACAGGGAAGATGGTAAAATTAAGATATTTTCAGAAAAACAAAAAATGAAAAAATTTTAAATTAAAAATGTAAAAATAGAAGCACCTTAGTACCAACACATTCCCATTAAAAGCCATCTAAACTAAAGGATGTGTGTCAAAGAATGGAACTATGTCCAGAAAAGAGAGAAATACAAGATGACATAATAACAGAAGAAATATGCAAATGTGGTAAAATCTAAAACTATATTGACTACATAAACTAAAATTATAAAAGTGATAATGACTAATATTAAAGTTAAAAAAGAGAACTAAAACTCAGGACAAAAAGTAGACTATAGCATGATAGGGTGTGATTAGAAGTAAGTTTCAAATACTGTGATTAGGATTATGTTCAGGAGAAAGATCAAGATCTTAAGCTATGTTGGAATTTAATAAGTATTTTTGAAAAAAAATAAGGATAATCCCTAAAATACTAGATATGACATACATACATTTCAAAGCAATTGTAGGGGAAATCGATATTTTAAAAATATTTGATCAACCAAAAGGGGGGGGAGAAGAAGGAATAAAGGAAAATCAAAAAGAAAAAGCAAAATAAGATGGTAGAAATATATTAAGAAATACTATACTGAAAAGACAGAACTATTGATTTTTTCTTAAATCTAGCAAAATACTATTTCTGAGAAGCATGTCTAACACACAGGAACTAAGAAAATTTGAAAGTAAAAGAATTGAGAAAGGTAACTAAGGCAAATACAACTTTTTTAAGAAAAAGAAAATTAGTATGGTTACAATCATATACCAATCTTAGTGCTATAGTATAAACGTATTGAGATCATTTGTAATATACAGTAGTGTTACTGTGTGGAGAGGTTCAGGCTTCAAGGTGCTGGTGTCTGAATTTGATCCTATTTATTGCCCCAGTTGTGTTATTAAGTTATTGTGCATCATGTTTTTTCTTACCTCTAAAATAGAGGAAATAATGGTTTGTATCTCATAGTATTATTATGAGGATGAACTGAGTAAATACACGTGAAATTATTGAGCATAGAATAACACTCTGAAGCACAGAGAACTCACTGATACTGAGAAAAATGAGGTGTCAAAAAATATTTTAAGACAACACAAGGAAAAAGGCGCTCTGAGAGATAAGGAAGGTTAGTATACAATGAAAAAAGGTAAAATTCACTACAAGTTAGAAAAATTCTAAATATGTCTGTACCTGATAACAGAGTGTTCAAATAGATAACATTTTCAAAACATATGAACCCTACTTCCTCGATGAAACCTTCCCTGATGACTGTTTCTTACTCCAAATGCTAGGTCCCTCCCCTCAGTGCTTCAGTAGCACCCAGGGCATAAGTTGTATGATAGTCTCCTGTCACACAGTTATACTTCCTTGTTCCTCATTTCTCTCCTTCGACTATCTGCCATAAACTCTCTGAACACTGGGACTGCCCTCTGTGCTCTCACTACCGAGTTATCATACAAACGTGATAAATACTAAGCTTCCAAAACATGTATGTTTAATGATGAATCCATAAATGTTTTTGTAAGAGAAAATTTAACAGATGCAACTTTTAATTTGTTTTTTAATAAAAGAGTAAAGTTCCTAAATATATGTGGGAAAACTCCACACATTATCATACTTCTTCCCAACCACAAAAGCTATCCTCAGCCCCAATGTCATACAGAATATCTTGTGTCTTCACATTTCTAGGGGAGATGATAGAAGCCTTCATCAATTCTTCCAGGGTATCTGTGAATCACAAACCTGGAAGAACTGCTGGCTCAAAGGGGCTTGATTAGTTGATTATAGTTCTGCTTCCTCTGCCTCTGAAAACTCACCAAAGTAAGAGTGAACTGATTTTTAAAAAGTATAAAGGCTGAAACGTCAACGAAATATGAGTACAACTGTTGGGTGAGAGATTTCAATGAAGTTTTTAAAGATAATGAAGTCCATGAGAAGTGAAAATGGAAATGGTGAAAAACTACTTTAGTACTTGTGGGGAGAGGTATCTGTGCGAGGTGAGCTACACCACTCAATGCCAGAAAGGCTCAAAATCAAGAGGCAGAATGTATCATGAAAAGCGGCAGAATGTAAGGTATAGAAGATAAAACTTGGAGATTGGCTGGGGCCCCCTACACCACTCAAGGCAGCCATGTAACCTTCTGTTCCTCCCTAAAAGATTGCAAGAGTAATTATCAGAGAATCTGCAACTGGGAATCTCAATTGGATTCAGTTTTTGGTGGGGAAGGGTGTGTTTGAAATTGTGTCGGGGTGAAAATGGCATAATTACCAATGTTACTGTAAAACAGACAGTAATTTGCAGTAACACAAATCACACCAGTTGTGTTACTGAGTTACTTAAAAATTGTGACTCACAGTTTGTCATCATCTCTTAAATAGAGAAAATAATAGTATCTATTTCATAATATCATCATGAGGATTGTATTAGTTCATTCTCATACAGCCATGAAGAACTGCCAGAGACTGGGTAATTTGTAAAGGAAAGAGGTTTAATTGACTTACAGTTCCACATGGCTGAGGAGGCCTCAGGAAACTTATAATCATGGTGGAAGGGGAAGCAGACACGTCTTACATGGTGGCAGGTGAGAGAGAGCAAGAAGGAAAACCACCACTGATAAAACCATCAGATCTCATGAGAACTCACTATCATGAGAACAGCATCGGGGAAACTGCCCCCATGATCCAATCACCTTTCACCAGGTCCTTCCCTCAACCTGTGGGGATTATAATTTGAGATGAGATTTGGGTGGGGACACAGAGCCAAATCATATCAAGGATGAACTGAGTAAATATGTGTGAAATTACTGAGTGTATAGTAACACTCTGACCCAGTAACGCTCACTGCTACTGAGGAAAATGACGTGACAAAAATATTTTAAGGCAACACCAGGAAAAGGGCCCCTCAAAAGAAAAAAGGGAAATTCCTCTTTTCCTATGTTTCCAGAATATAGCCAGAGACTACCGGCTCCTCCTCTGGAGGAAGCATACTGTCTCAATGGAAGACTTTGGGGGTAGAACAAGGGATATGCTATGTCACAAATCATTTAATAAATCCATCAGCCAACAAGCTTCACCTAGAGATGAACACATCTTCAAAGCACTTTACAGTATGATATGCACAGGCATTGATAACCTAGACTATGTAACCATATGGATAAATGATTCAGAAGCCTTGGTTCAGATTATTAAAAATGAACTAAAACACAAGTGTCGATTTCAAATAAATGCAATGGTAGGCAAGATTTGAAGATGAATGTTTAAATTGTGGTTGAAGAAAAATACAAATATCTAAAGAGGCCTATAAATAAATGACTTTTTACTGGTAACAGTGAAAAAAACATGTTACAAATAGAAAAGTAGACATTTAGCTATTTAGTTGAACTCATAAAGGGCCAAATTTCTTTATAAGAAGGCTATAACGTTAGTTGCTTTTTACCTTCCTAGTCATATTTTTGAGAAATAGGAATATAATGTACATATGTTTAAGTAAGAAAAAAAATAAAAGTAAAATTTGAATTGCAGTCTGAAGGTTTGTTTACAGTTTCCAATCCAAATGCAATATTATTGAAATATTCGAGATTCATCTCTGTGAATGAGTTTTATTGTCCGTATGGCTTTCTATTCTTTAGACTAAACTCCCATCATCTGTTAGGAAGACACATAAAACAAAGGGATTTGCAGTCTATGTTTGCTTTTTTTTTCCTGATAAATTTATCTGTAACAAGTCATCTTTTCAAAAGTATAAGTAAAATATTGGCAGTTTATATTTTTATTCCATCTCCAATGTATATCTTCTATACATAAAAATGTGCTAGATGAAATATAATTATTTACTATTTACAAGATGAAAGCCAAACCAAACCAACAAGCAAAAAACAAACAGAAAAAACAGAACTCAAGTATAATAAACTAAAGTTCTCCCTGCTCTGGTTCTCAGTGGTATACAGTTCATACAAACACTACTAAATTCCAGGAAAGTTTCTGACCACAGTATTATCTATTTACTGTTTACAACTAGAAACAGTTCTCAAGACAATGATAACATTTGTCAAATCCAGAAGTCTCTGTTATAAATAATTACTCTCAAACAGTATTTCAATGTTCTCATAAATATATACACATATACTCTTTCATTGGGTTTAAGCTGTCAAAATAATTTAACCAGTAAAAAATTATTCTACATTTGAAGTAAAAAGTATGAAAATATTACTTCAGAAAGTTCAAAGCTGTAGGTTATTTGTGCACCTACCTAAAATTCATAGTAAATGGCAGTTTAAAAAATTTAAAACTACATCAACTTCTGGTTAAAAAAATCTAGTAAGACAGACATTTTTTGATAATATGAATCACCGAAACCACGTCAGCCACCTTGAAACTGGCCATTTTGAATGCTGTAAAAATGGCATTCTAGGTTACAAACACCATCATGGGTTAAAACGGGAAATTCTTTACCTTTTCTCAGTGAGGCCCCTCTAAATAGAGAGAGCCTGTTGATATTACTTTCAGGCTATTTGACTATTCCTCATGAAATTACAAATGCTAATTGCCCTTTGAAAGTTAATTTTAACAATAACGGGTTAGAATAGAGTCAAGTCTTCGAGGGACACGATGTGTCCCTGGACGGTACGATCAGTTAGATTTTAATAATGTGATGGAATATATTAACAAATATAGGAAAGAATGTGAACAGGGGCTTGGTCAGCAAAGAAAGCATAAAAAGAAAGGGGAGACAGAGAGGAAGTGAGGATATGGCCCAGTTAAGCAGTGCCCATAGACAGGGAGCTTTGCCAGGATGTTAAGTAGTGGGTTTCCATTGGCTGGGCCATCACTAGTGCACAGGTAGGTGGAGTCTTGGCTAATTGACTCAAGTGTTCTGATCCCATTGGGATTGTGGTTCAGGCTCTCTCACTTGATGACATTTTTTTTTAAAAAAGTATTTATCTGGCTAAAGCTTCCTTCCCATCAATTTTCAAGGGAGACAAGGTCTCTTAGTATTAATTCTGTCATTCAAAGCAAACTTAGATGTGCAGAATAAATGTTATAATGGTTATAATGTATAAATGATGATACTGAGTATTGAGTGCTACTGAATTACTTACTAAATTACAGAAAATTGACCTATGTCTCTTGACTTCTGTTAAGAGTGGGAGAAAAAAGTTCCTGGGATAGAGTTCAGGAATGAACAGTTGAATATACCAACTTAAACTTAGGAAAGCAATGATAGGAGCCACACACAAGAAAGATGAAATGTTTTAAAATAGAAAGGCCAAAAAGGACATTAAAATATGCCCAGAATAGCCTGTGTCTGTCCTTAAGTGGTCTCTCGAGAACATTCATGATCTTACAGTTATAGTTGCCTTACACTAGGGTAAGCTGTTTTTACTCTAATAGGCTCAGAAGACTCACTTTGTCAGCATCCCAAAACTGGATTTCTTTATCTTTCAGGAGTAAGAGCACATTAGCTAAGTTTAGAAGAGTGCTTGTTTATTAATGAATTTAAACGAGAACTGTTACTGTAACATGGAATGACAGCCTGAGCCCTATGCTTTCTCTAAGCAGGCAGGGAAAATATTCGAAATGTTTTAGCCTACTGTCACTGTGTTGTGGGGAATACTTGTTTTGGAGAGATGCACCCTCTCTCTCACAGCCCTTTGTGGTGGCTACCGTACTTGTCATCTACTGGAAACTCTACTGTGAAACAAGATTTAGGGACAGTGTTTACATCACCTTGTTCATTTCTGAACATTACAACATACCATTGTCCATTTCCTCCATATGTATTTATGTATATACACATCTATAATAATATATATGACTATATTTTATTAAAATGCATAACAAAATGCACACACTCTCATACATACACATAGGACATGTATACATAGTGCATGTACACATAAGTGAGCACCCCTGGAGAGGCTGTCAGAGGGAACAAATGAGCCCTCTATTTCTTACAACATCGAATGAGCCTCACTCAGGTTTAGTGGTGAATGTTCTTCAAGCCTATAGTTACTGCCCTGTGAATCTAGGAGAACTTGGTAATCTACAGCCTCTGCAACACTACAAAAGACTAAATTCAGTCAAGAGGAAAGGCATATGAAAGTGGAGAAATAAGTTGTCAGGCAAAAATGTCAATTTTCATGAATTTCAAAGCATATAAAAATTAAAGGTCTCCTTCTGTGCAGTCAAAGCAAAGGCTAAGAGTTAAAGTAAATGTAATAATACTTTTTTATTATTCACTAGGCTGTGTATCTTATATAAAACTGAAGAAAAGTCAATAGTAGTACATAAAACAAACCAGCATAGAAAGGTAGGCTGCAATTTCTTAGAAAATAAATGGGGTTTCTTCTTAGAAAATCATTCTCATAAATGTATAGTGCTTAAATTTAACCACAAAAATATACAAAAGTAGATCACTCAGCTAATTCCAAATCCGTATGATATATATGGTCGTGAATTTTACATTGTTTGATTTACTAATATCTTAACTTCAGATATGAATCTTCATATCAATGTCTTCATTTAAGCAATAGGAGGGCGTTTGGATTGAATAAATTCCCTTTGTGAGGTGAATTTAGCGTTAAGGTTTGAGGCATCTGAGGCTATTTTAAATTACCCATTCATTGACAGTCAGTTATAGCACATGCAATATAGCTATTTCTCTTTGATATTGGAGCTAAACAAACAAAAACATATAAATAGTATTTTATAAGCAATGTTCCCAGAAAAACACCTTATTAAAGTAACAATTGGTAATACTAAGCATATTGAAAGTTGACTTAAATGTAAAATCAGTAATCATTATTTTTTAACTTTCTAAATGCAGCTTAATTTCTAATTAAAAAAATAAGTGATTCTCTCTACTAAAATCAAATTCAATGTAAAGATGCATCTTTTGATCTCATCTAATAGAACATTGGTAAAGACAGTAGTCAGGAAGTCTACTGAGTCATCTAAAACATACTAAGGATTAAGGGTTATTATGTATCTATATATTGGGTATCTATTAGGCATATTGTCTTACATAGTTGTCGATCAGAAAAGGAAAGATTCAGTGGTGTGCTGGTCAACCAGTTCTCCAACAAAATAAACCCTAAAAACACATCCTGGTTTGTAGCATCTGCTATTGTAGATACTCCCATCATGGTTAATTTCAAGTTACAACAATTTAACAAGCGACTCACGGAATTCCTGAAAATTTAACCATCAGTTTTCTTGAGCCAGTCTAAGCAAGCTCCAGCACACCACTGCAAGTGATAGACAAGAAACGACTGATGTGCAAAGGGTGCTCAGAGAGACAATGACTGCCCCAAGGACGTGTGGTGTGGCTTCACAAAATAGCTCTGTCTTAAAAGATGACTAAGAATTTATCAAATACAGATGCACGGAAACAGTATCTCTGTTGTCATGGACACGTCATTGTCCATTTCTTCCATATATATTTAAGTACACACAAATATAATCATGCATATGACTATAATATTTTTAATTAAAATCTGTAGCAAATCGCACACACTCTCATGCACACAGAGTATGCACATATAAGTGAGTGACCCATACACTGAGGTGACAACTGCAACCATGTAGGAAATACGGAAGATGTTACTGTGTTTGGGGAGAGGCAAGGGACAGAATTTCTGAGGACTACAGGAAGCAACAAGGGCTGGAACAGGAAGCCACAAAGAGCCACACGAATCTAAGTCCGCAAGGACCGACCACGTGTGACAAGCTAGGAAATATCACTTTCTTATGGGCAATGATTTCTTTTCATACAGACAGTATGAATTCGATTTGTTATTTATGCAGGTAAATACAAAGGCGAGATTGTAGAGCAGAATTAAAGCCTGGAAGACCAATTAGAGATATGCTGCAATATTAATCCAGGTGAAAGTTGAGGAGGGCCTCAATCAGGCATGGGCAAACTATGACCCTTAAGCCAAGTGCAATCTGTTGTTAGAAATAATAACTTTGAGGAACAGGAGTATGTTCCCTCATTTACATATTGTCTACGACTGCTTCTGTGCTACAATGGCAGAGGTGAGTAATTTTGACAGAGACCATATGGCCTCCAAAACTGAGAATATTTATTAGGCCCTTTATGGAAAAACAGACTGCTGATTCTTGACTTAGAGTAAGGGAGCGAGAAAGAAAAGTCAGAAACGATTTTGAGAAATGATTTACTATAGAATTCATCGTACATGCTGGTGGATGTGTGTAGTAGGAGAGGAAGAGGGAAGTCTCATGAACAAACCTTAGTTTCTATTTGGTGACTGTGTTCATGGTCATGTCAGTAACTTGCACCAAAAACAAATGAGACACGTTTAGCTTGGGGGAGACAGAGAATGAGTTTGGTTCTGGACATGGTCAGTTTGAAAGGCCTATGCCATCTTCATGAGAAGATATCCAATACGATGCTGGAAATAAAGAGTCACAAAAGAAGAAGGAATAAACTAAATCCAAAATAGCAAGTGCTTTTTCAAGTTCTAACATGGTTATAAAATATCCTTTACTTTGTGTCTATAAAATAACCTGGTTATAAAGTATTTAACGTGGTTAGAAAGTATTCAAAGTCTCCCATACTTTTTTCCGTTGTATAGACCATAGTCCAAAAGTCCTTAAACTCAGCAAGTTACTACTTGTGACCTAATTTCAGCAAAGCATCCCTCCTTTCTGCTACTTCTCTGCCTTCCACAAGTTTTGCATTTTAATGTATTGATTTACATTTCAATAACTGTATCTCTACTGTGGGTCCCCAAGGAAAGGAACTATGATCTATTCATGTTGGCATCTTATACATAGTAGGTATCTATTAATTGTTTTTAATTACACTGAATGAGTTGTGAGAAATACCAACTCTGTTTTAGCTGGGTGCTTCAGCAATAAGAGGAACTCTTTTGTATTTAGAAAGATGTGATTGGCAAAAGCAACTGCGAGATAATCACATAAGTCAAACAATGCCCTTGATACATGCATGCCCTTATTTTAATGAAGACTTCCATGTTAAAAAGGTTAAGTGATTTGCCCAAAGGTTGCAGTAGCCAGAGCTGCTCCTGCTCTCAGACTGACCCTTCCAGCTCTGACCGGGCCGTGGGCAGAGGAAAAGGACAGGAACCAAGCAGTGGGAGTGTTTCATTATCTCTCTGTAACATCTACAGAACAAGGCTGCCATCATTGAAATGCCTCAAAATATTAGACACTCTATATTTCAAGTAAGTACAAAAGTACTATTTAAGAGCTAAAGCAAGTTTCCAGGCTTGCCACTGTTTGCAGGGAGACAGAAAACCAAACCCAACACAACTCAACTGACATTCTTCAGAATATCCTCAGGGATGCCCTACTCAATTGTCCTCTACCTCCTTCTGTGCTTAGAGAGTTGACCAGCTGTCCAGAATGACCCTGAACCTGTCACAGACTTCCCTGCCCAGGCTTCTATGTAGCTAGCACATGGTGACTAATCCTGACTAATAAGATCCAAAATAAAATCTGTTAGGGATTCTGGCATGATACTTCTCACTGATGGTGTATATTTGTGTGTGTGTGTGTGTGTGTGTGTGTGTGTGTGTGACAGAGAGAGAGAGGAAAGGAGGGAGAGAAAGAGAGAGGAAGGGAGGGAGGGAGGGGGACAGAGGAGGAGGGGGAGGGGGGGGAGAGAGAGAGACAGAGAGAGAGAGAGAAAGAAAGAAAGGCTTTTCCTCATCCTTGTATGTGGCTATGTGAGATCAACCATGCCTGGAAGGACCTGACCGCAAAGGTTAGCCCATTACAGATGGTAGAGTGAAAAGTAAAGTGTCTAACACCAATGGTCCATGGCATTAACCAAATCTAGGATTCCCACTTTTCAGGCTTCTCATAAAATTTTTTAAAAATGATAATTTACAAAAACCCTCTATTGTTTAACCAGTGTTTGCCCACCATTCTCTTAACTGGAGCCGGAAGTGTGATAACTGGCACAGTCCTGAGATGGAATGGCTTAGGTTCATTTAGGTGATGAGTGGCCAGAATAAGGGTGGTAAATTCTTCCATTTGCTGAGTGTGTTTTGCCTTTTCTGTTGTGTGGATGAGTCACATGATAGCATGGGACAATCTTTCTTCCTGCTTTGAGTTTTGCTGTTATTTAATATTATTATGTTCTTTAATCATGTACTGGATCATGCTGGGACTAGCCTTATAGCAATTTTAAAAGTTCTCTTTTGCAGAATCAATTAGAACTTTTATTTCTAGGCATTCTGGATCTCATGGCCATCTGGTCATACAACTTTTCACACATCTTTACCCTGCTGTGACACTAGAGAACGGCCTCAGGCAAAGGAGACAACAGCTGCCAAACACTCGTTTTCATTAACTGGTTGTCATTTCTCTGCCAATGTAGAGGTGCATTTTAGAACTCGGAATTCCCTCCAATAGGATGTGGCCCTATTTCCTTGCTGATGTGCCTCTCTTCAATAAAGACATTTACAAAAATAAAGCAACAGGAGAAAGTTGGTTTTTAAGAAAAACTAATTAAAACAATGCATTGGAGAGTGGTCACCATGTTAAATTATCTTTTGTGTGTTTGTTTTGGTGCTTTTTGTATACACCGGGTCTCACTATGTCATCCAGGCTGGTTGTGAACTAAATTAACTTGTTTGATCCTACAATAAAAAATAAACTTCACACCTAAACTTTTGAGATCTAAAGATATATAAATAATTCTTTGGCCGACAATTAGGAAATATACAGTCCGCTCCAGAAAATATGGAACTTTTACGAAAGTGGATATATAATAAATTATATTGCGAGTCTCTAAAATGTCTAAGAATATCTCTGATTATAATGCAATTATATTAGAAATCACTAATAAACATTGGGGTGTGTGTGTGTGTGTGTGTGTGTGTGTGTGCGTGCAACAAATTCGTAAAAAATCACTTAAAAACATACCTGGACTAATAAAACTTGATTGTGGATATCAAAAGATACTGAACATAACTAAACAATAATGAAAGTACTGCATAACAAAACTTGTGAGATGCAACGGAAGAGAAGATTTAAGTGAAATTTATTGTTTTACTTATACTAAAAATAAAGAATATAGTATCAGTTGAGAATTCATCTTAAGAAGTAACAAAAATGAAAAGTCAATACAAAGAAGGCAGAGAGAAGGAAACTATGAAAGAATTAGATTTTATGAAAAAATTTATACTCTACTGAAATAAAGGAAAGGTAATACAAAGAAGGCAGAGAAAAGGAAATTATGAGAAAATTAGATTTTATGAAAATTATGAAAAAAATTACAGTCTACTAAAATAGAAAACTGATGAGAGGAATGAGTGAGTCTAAGAACATATTCTCTGGAAAGATAAGACAAATCTCCATTGAGACAGATAAAGAAAAAAATGGAGAAGGCTCAAGTGGAGGCAAAACTTTAGATTCATTCCAGATTAAAAAGCTAATGAGAATCCTATGAACTTTATGTAAAATTTTGGAAATCTAATGAATGGGATAAAAGTACAGATTGTGATATAATATCTACAAAGAACAGCACGCCTGAATAGCCTTAAGACTATTATGCTATTTGCATCTAAAATAATGACTGTGAGTCCAGGTACCCAGGAGAATCTAATGAAAATTCTTGATGAAGGAAAGGACCTTCACCATAGACTTCAAAGAATTCACACAAATAATTATTTCAGCATCATAATCAGTGCCGAATAAAAAACGGCCAACTATTTAAGGAAAGAGAATGAAAGCCAGCAGAACAGACTGGCAAATAATTCAAGAACTAGGAAAATCAGCAACAGATTATAATGTATTTCCAGACAAACAAAAATCAAGAAACATTAAGTAGAGGAAATTCTAAAGGATTTTGTTTCCTTCTGAGATTCTAGAAGCAATGGGAAACAGTGGGTGACTATGTTGATAGAAATGAACAAATAATTATAAAATAGGAAATATAACTTTGTAAGACTAAAAATCTAGAATATATATTTTACACTATAATGTAAATCTAGAAAGTGTTTTAAAGTTCTTGAAATATCTAAGAGGTGAGTAAAGAGACTGATAATGTTTTGACATATTAAATATCCATGTTTTAATTTTTAGGGTAACCACTAAAATAATAGAAAGTGAAGTTATAACATTCAAAAAGATGGGGGAAATAGAATAGTAGAAAATATTTATTAATTAATTCAAACATTCATCTGACAAAGATAATGTGTGACAATAGCCAGAAACAATAGGAACGACTTTATATTTCTATTCATATAAGTTTCTTTGTTTTTTTTTTTTTTTTTTTTTTTTTCTTTTTGAGATAGAGTGTCTCTCCTCTGCTGCCCAGGCTGGAGTGCAATGGCCTGGTCTCGTCTCACTGCAACCTCCGCCTCCTGGGTTCGAGCTGGGATTACAGGTACCCGCCACCACACCTGGCTAATTTCTGTATTTGTAGTAGAGACGGGGTTTCACCATGTTGGCCAGGCTTGTCTCAAACTCCTGACCTCAGGTGATTCGCCTGCCTCTGCCTCCTCAAGTGCTGGGATTACAGGCATGAGCCACTGCACTCGGCCTATTCATATAAGTTTTAAAAACAGGAAAAACTAAGTAAAGAATAGAAATTAAAGAATGACAAAAAATATCCCAAATTCACACTAGCTTACATAGTCTATATGCTGCTAGAAGAACATCTCTAATTGGCTCTTGGTTATAAGGGTTCTTTTACTTAAAAAAATACAAATTCTTTTATAAACTCTTTGTTCCTGTGACATAGTATATCAAAATTAAACATTTTTAAAACGCCAAAGTAATTTTTAACATGGCTAGGAATTTTTTTTTTTTTTCCCGAGACTGAGTCTCACTCCGTCGCCCAGGCTGGAGTGCAGTGGCGCGATCTCGGCTCACCGCAAGCTCCGCCTCCCGAGTTCACGCCATTCTCCTGCCTCAGCCTCCCGAGTAGCTGGGACTACAGGTGCCCGCCACCATTCCCGGCTAATTTTTTGTATTTTTAGCAGAGACGGGGTTTCACCGTGTTAGCCAGGATGGTCTCAATCTCCTGACCTTGTGATCCGCTGGTTAGGAATATTTTTAACCAACAGAACTTAAAGAAGTGAAATATTCTCATAAGCCTTGTCTTCCATTAACATCAAGGAATGACCAACCATAAATGAGTGAACACTGTCTGGAATTTCATGATTTATTATGTAAATGTAAAACAGTCTGATGGATGACAGCATGTTTCTTCACATGACATAGAAGAAACTGAGTCCCTTTTAACACCAGAAAACATCATAGCAGGTTGACAGCTGATATACAATTGTATATGTATGTAATGATATGTGAACAAATACTTAAAGTTACACATATAATTTTCTAAGTGTTCAGTGTGTACATGGAAATAACAAAACTAGAAAAAGTTGGCAATATTACACAGTGACACTCATTTCCAATGAATACTTATTACCAAGTATTTTGGATCTTTTATCCACATTCTTCTTAGCAGCATGTAGACTAGCTTATGTAAGCAAATAGAAAGAGATAATATAAAAAGATAATGTAAGCTCTCAACATGATTATTTGATGAGAGATAATATCTTAAAATCTGTTAACCATAAGGGAAAGAAAAACTACTAGAATCTTACTTGATGTGCATTTCTTTTCTACAAGCATGTATTCTATTCAGTGATCTTCTACAAGTTATTTAATAACTTGGACAATGTAGGGGTCAAACTAGCATACGCCAACTGTTGACAGAAACAAGCGAGGTCTATATAACACAAAAAGCTTATTTAAAGATTTATATAATTTCAATGTCATGAAAGGTATATCCAAGGTGAAACCAACTCTAAAACTGCATGTGCTAGATGTAGTTTTTGAAAACATGGCATTGGAGAATTGAGCCTAAATAGATAAAGAATTACTGGCATAATTACTTTTTTTGTATATTTCCCTAAGGCCCTATAAATGCCATACAATAAAATGAGAAGTTAATAGAAAACATACAAAAAATCAAGAGGCAATTGAATTGGAAATGACTCCAAGACTGAGTTGATAGCAATATATGCTTTATCAAAGAGTCTATTTGGTGATGACTGAATCATACAGATTTATACAGATCCATGAATTTGAGGTATGATCAGAATAAAGAGAACATTTTTAAAAAAGAATGTGTACAAGAAAAATTATGCCTCAGCTAATGTGCAGTTAGAAAAATATGGAAATAATCATTAAACTGTGTAACTGTCTTTATACGGGGTGACAAATAACAGTCACATTCTCTTTACAAATAGGTGTCTTAGTTTGAGCTGCTATGAAGAAATACCATAGAGTTAATGAATTAAACAATAACATTCCTTTTTCACAGTTCAGAGTTGGGGAATCCAAGATCAAGGCAGTGGCAGATCCAGTGTCAGGAGAGGGCCTGCATTCCGGCTTGTTGACAGTATCTTCTCACCATATCCTCACACAGCAGAGAGTAAGCTCTAGTCTCCTTCTCTTTTTATAGGAGTGCTAATCCCATCATGAGGACCACACTCTCATGATATCATCTGAATCTAATTTCCTTCCAAAGGTCCCACCACGTATTAGCATCCCGTTGGATGCTATCACCTGAGCCACAGGTGAAGGTTCAGACCCACTGACCCATTGGAGGTGAGGGTTTCATCTTGATTGTACCTCAAATTCATGGATCAGTATAAATCTGATTCAGTCATCACTGAATAGACTCTTTGATAAAGCATATATTGTTATCAACTCTGTCTTGAAGTCATTTCCAACTCAATTGACTCTTGATTTTTTTAATTTTTTTTATTAACTTCTGTATTTCATTTTATAGTATTTATAGGGCCTTAGGGAAATATACAAAAATTATGCCAGTAATTCTTTATCCATTTAGGCTCAATTCTCCAATGCCATGTTTCCAAAAACTGTATCTAGGACAGGCAGTTTTAGAGTTGGCTTCACCTTGGGTATGCGTTTTATGACGTTTTTGAAGGGACACAGATATGCACTCCATAACACTCAGCAACTACTGTAATAGTTAAAGATAACATAAGGAATAGGAGTAAAGAACATTCAGTCAGTATGCCTGTAGGTGAGGTGGCAGTTCTAAATTATAGCTACAAATGCCTCAATATCCATCCCAGTCTACAACTCTTCCCCTGGAATCTGAGAATGTTTATGATTACTGTGACTGACAGATCATGGTGGAAGTGACATTATGTGATGTCTAAGGCTAGGACATAAAAGATAATACAGCTTAGGCCAGAAGTGGTGGCTCATGCCTGTAATCCGAGCACTTTGTGTGGCCGAGGCAGGAGGATCTCTTGGGCTCAGGAGTCTGAGACCAGCCTGGGCAACAGAGTGAGATCTTGTCTCTACTAAGAGTAAGAGAAAAATTAGCTGGTGTGGTGGCATGCAACTGTAATCCCCGCTACTTGAAAGGCTGAGGTGGAAAGATTGTTTGAGTTCAGGAATTTGAGGCTGTAGTGAGCTGTGATCGCACCACTGCACTCCAGCCTGGGTGACAGAGCGAGACCTAGTCTCAAAACAAACCATAACAAAGCTTACTCCTTTACTGAAAACACTCAATCTTGGAGCCCTGCACTGTTATATAAAATACTTAACCAGCCTGAGACTCTCTAGTTGGAAGGGCCACAGGTGAGGGCTCAGGCCCACTGTTCCAGCCGAATGCATCCTTCACCTTTCCCAGTCTCAGTGTCAAACACAGAAGTGAAGAAGCTGTCAGGTGATTCCAGCTCCAGCTCTTGAGAATTTTGAGTTACCCCCTTAGCCATCTGATATCATGCAGTAGAGAAGAGCCATCCTCAATATTCTGGGTCTAAATTCCTGACTCATCAATATGTCATTGTTAAAAATAAAAAAGGTGACTATCTTACTCAATAAGTTTATCTTACTCAATAAGACTATCTTATCTTATTGAGTAAGTTTATCTTACTCAAGATGTGGCAGTTAAAAAAAACAGACAAAATTCTTTGAACTTTCAAATTTATAATCAAGTTTATATTCAAGTTTATCTTACTCAATAAGTAAGTTTATCTTACTCAATAAGACTATCTTACTCAATAAGTTTGAGGTTGTTTTTTGTGAAGTAATATATACAACTAGGGAACTATGCACTAAATAATAAAATTAATCCTAGGACACTTTATTATTAGTGAGAAGATAAGGCATAACTCTTGTCTAACACAACGTGACTTAAAAGTTAAATTATACAGGGTATAGATTGCATTCCTAGAAATCTCTGAGTAAGCAAGAACAAGATAGACAGATCGAATAATGGAACATCTTGTTGAAAATTGCAAAGCATGCACACAAAACTGAATAACCTAACATTATATTATTAGTGTTCATATAGCAAGAATGTATAAAATTCATTGTTGTCAGAAAATCATGGACTCTGCTAGCTTAAGGTACTTTTCAGAATAGGTAAAAGAGTATACAGCTCTCAAGAAGATCATACATCCTAAAGGAAAGTTTTTCATAATTGCTTTCCAAATTCATTTGCACTGTGTAGCTCTTGTCCTTGGACTTCCAGATTATTTAGTTAATCTTTTTTGGTTTTCTATATTTTAGGTTTTTTTCTTTAAATGATAAGTTCCAGCACTTTGACTTTTCTTGGCTTTCTACAATCTCCAGCCTTTATGTCTGTGAACTCTTACACCCTTCATTGGTATAATATAACCTTTGGTTGTTGTTTTGGGCTTCATGACCTTCAGTTGAAAATCCTTCTAATGGATGAATCCAACCCATTGGTAATGTTCAAGGAAACCACTTACCTTCTCTGACCCCTTCTGCGACCACCTACATACCTTTTCATATAATTTTGTTGCCTTGGCCTTAATCTTCTCTCTGCTGATTTCATTTAGGGATGGGGAGTTGGAATGGCAGGTGGGGGGTCGAAATGGCTGGTGAGAATTCACTGGAGTGTCCAGTCACTATATAAAATTAATAAATATCCATGAACACATAGGGGTCATGGAGACATCAGAAAGAACACAGTGTGACATCTACAGAGGGTACAGAGAGTTTTTTTTTCAAAAGAAATATTTATGGTAGAAAGGAATGTGGTACACTGAGGATATATAAAGAGTGAAAAAAGCACCATGAATGCCTTAGATAGAGAAATCTAAAGTAGTAAGAGTTAATCAAGAAAATAAGCCAATGGTATCAATTACAGATGCACAATAAATATTGAAAAATTATCTCATGTCTTTAAAGATAGGGACTGGTATGGTCAACACACTTTTGGAGAAAGAATTAAAATTTACTTTCAAATATATGAATCACAGGAGACACGGGATAAATAAAAGATTAAGATTACAATATTCAACTTTAGGAGACCTTAACATACTGAAATATCATAAAAATTCAATGATTATTTATATACCAAGATATAGACTAGATATCATTGCTGAACCACAAGGATGAAGACACAGGATGAAAGCTAAGGGGTTATAAATAAAGTTTATGAAAACAGTAACTGAATATAGGGACATATATAAACAAATTAGGTCAAAGCTTGAAGCCATGCATAAACAAGATGTTTTGAATACTAGTAGTGGTGTATATTTTAGTTTTCTAGGATTGTTAGGAGTTTTGGAAAGAAACACCTATCTTTAATATACGATTGTGTCTGCATGCCAGGTACTCATTCAGTGTCCAAAGATGTGGCAGTTAAAAAAACAGACAAAATTCTTTGAACTTTCACGTTTATAATCAAGTTTATATTCAAGTTTATGTTGTTTATAAAAAACAATAAGCAAATGAATAAAGAACATATCATATTAGGAGAGGTAAGAGTTTTGGATGAAAAAATAATTAAATTAGTAGAAAAGAGGGTTAGGGAGTAGAGAGGTGGGTGGCAGGCTGTTTCTACTTTAGGGCGGTCAGGGAAGGCTTCATCAAGAAGGTGACATTTGGGCAATATTTTGAAGAAGAGGAGACAAGTGGCCATGTGAGCAAGTAAGAGAAGACCATTCCAGGCAGAAGGAACAGGAAGTGCAAAGATCCTGGGGCAGCACTGTTCCCAGTGTGCTAAACAAAGAGCACAGTTAAAGCAGAGGCAATGAAGGAGAAATAGCATGGGGTGGGTCAGAAACATTCCAAGGACCTGTTGTATAGGACTTTAAAGGCTGATTCAAGGATGTGACTTCTTTAGTAGTAAAATGGGGAGCATTGAAAGGTCATAAGGAGAGGGTAAAATGATCTGGCCTGTGTTTTAAAAAAGGATGATTCTGCCCATTGTGCTGAGAGCAGGCTATAGGCAAAGAAGGGTGGAAAAGGGAGATGAATTCAAAGATCACTGTGATAAGCCAGTAAAGCGAGGTGACAGCTATAGGGGCTCGGGACAGCAGGTAGCAGATTTTGCTCATACTTTTAAGATAAAGGCAACAGGATTTGCTGATGATTGAGTCAAAGAGAACTCCAAGTTTTACAGTATGAGTAATTGGAATAGAGCGGCCATTTACAGAGGTGGAGAAAACTGAAACAGAACAGGTTTATGAACAAAGATTAAGAGCACAGTTTTGAGTGATTTTGATGCCTATTAGACATCACTATGAGATGCAGAAAAGTAAACTAAATATTCAGCTTGTTTAGGGATAACTAAAGCATAGGTTTCTAGAGATTAAGCAAGTTTAAAATGAAGTGTGCCAGGTATAAGACAATTACCTTTGAGCTAGATGTGCCTAATGGTCTTAAAATCCCTTTAGAAAACACTATGGTGCCCAAAACCGTATGTCTGCAGGCCGGTTTTGACTTGTGAGCTCAGCTTTACCAAACAAGGAGTAAACAGCTTTAACAAATGAGGCCATTGTGTTCATCTATGCTTAGGGAGTACATGAATAGGTTTTCAGAAATAAATGCTTAAGGTGATTCCAAAGCAGCCTGAGAATGTTTTTGAGGAATGGCAACATTATTATAATAACTACATAGCTTTTGAAGACTATTAGAAGCTAAAATTTCATTGAAAATAAATAAAATTTGCTTTTTTTTTAATTAGGAGAAAATGCTTGGTAGTCACTTTTATGTGTATTAAGGTTGAAGTCTGGAATTGACTGATACTAATATTCATCATCTACCCTTTACATTAGTTAAAATGGATGCCATAAATCACACATGAATAAAAATTATAGATCGTTCAAACATTTGTTAAATTGTGTTAAAAATGACTGCAACCTATTACTCAGCTATGTTTACTCAATGAGCATATAATGATTAATTTACTTTATGTTTTTACAAATAAGTATTTCTGTGACAATAACACCTACTTACTAGAAAATTCCATAGGAGAAATTTATGGGTAATATAATTACCATATGATATTTTCATTAAAAAGTACATATCTATTTGATGGGCAAAGGTTTGCTTATAGAGAAGAGGAAAATAAGACCACCCAAAAACTGAGGTTTAAGAAAATCTGCTTATTTTTCAAATATGTCCAAAGTTTTTATAAGTATGTATTTCTGTGACAAGATCTGTTTACTGGTAAATTGGTAAAAGTACACTTATTTGAAAACTAATGCTTTCTTTTGGGAAAATGCTATCATTCAAGTTACATTTACCTTCAGGGCTGTCATTTCCTAATTTTTAAATGCATGATATCATAAGAAAGTTTTTAGTATCCAATTTATTACATAAATCACACTGGTGCCTTTTCACAGATACTACAATTAAAGTTCTAAGTGTTATTTTTGTTATGGTGCATCTAGTTTGGAATGGATGTGGACACAACAGAAGCTGTAAATTTACTTTTTGTTTTTCATTCTCAATAACATTTACACAGCAGGCAACTGGTTAAGTATCTCTCAGGGGTCTTTCCAAGGAACGTAGAAGCTTTATTAACTCATTTCCCACTGTTCTGACTTTAGAAAAAAATCCTGCACTCCAGAAACTACTTAACAGTATGAAGTTTAGAGGGAGGAAATTATAACAAAAAAAGTGTTCACTAGATGGACAGTATCATGACAGAAACCAGTGGGAAGTCTGCTAAGCTAGACTATAAAACAAGACTCGTGTCCAGGAGAGTAAGTCACACGTGGGATAGGTTTGTTGATCCATTTAGTCAACAGGTGCTAATTAAGGAGCAGAAGACTAAGAAACATCACCTTGAATAGCAAAACTGGAAGAAGAAAGGGCAAAAAAAAATTATTAAAATATTACTCATTTCAGTACCGACTGCTGCTGCATGTAGGATCAACAGATTCCATCACCTTAGATCACTGGCATTGCCAAGACTTCCCATGAAGAGGAGCAACAGCTTCTATTAAGTAAGGAAAATGCTTCCTGAAGCCGAGCTCCACAATGCTAAGAATGCTGTGTGGAGAGGAAGGCTCTGTCTGGCCCTACAGCTGGACTCAGCTTTATCACGACCCAGTCTAGATGCAGGAGCACAGAAAACAAATATATCAAGAAGAGAGAAATAAAGTTATCTGGTTATTAGAAAAGTCCCTGTAGTCAGATTTCAAGTTCACTTATCAGCTCTCCAAAAAATAGCTAGAGGACAAAGGGGTAGACCCAGAAAGAATAATAATAGTACCTGCCTCATAGAATGTTTGAGAAGATTCGCTGAGGTCATCCACATAAATAACTTACAAGAAGATGAGCAATTAGCAGGTTTTGATGACTATGTTACAATCAGAAAGATGGAGGTCAGAGTTTGAATGAAAGACAAGGATATAATTTCAAGTGGTATTAGGTGAGTTCCCAATACAGAAGATGACTTTCCAGATGTCACTACTAACTGGTGGCCATTTGATCTCAGTTTGGTTCCAACTTGCAGTAAAACTTTGCTCAAGACACAGCCTCAAAGAAAAGAGAAGAGAGTTTCACAAACTTTGAATGAGGAAGAGGCCATACAGCGACCTTCCATTTCACTAAAATACCAATCCGAATTATGACATTATATTTTCCCTCATGAAAAAATGGTCAATGGCTTATGTACAAATTTTACAGTACAAAGTGTTTTTTCATGAAATATTTCTTGTAAGCCTACTATGAACATGTCTTTCACTTAGACTATAATATCATTTGTGTTCCCATAAAACTTCAATAGTGGTAGGTGAGAGAAGACTTTCTTAAAACTAGACTAAATACTAAATAAAGAATTCTTACCAGCTTAAGAGATTTTGGGCTAAGACAATGGGGTTTTCTAAATGTATAATCATGTCATCTGCAAACACAGACAATCTGACTTCCTCCCTTACTGGAACACCTGCTATTTCTTTCTCTTGCCTGATTGCCCTGGCCAGAACTTCCAACACTATGTTGAATAGGAGTGGTGAGAGAGGCCATCCCTGTCTTGTGCCAGTTTTCAAAGGGGATGCTTCCAGTTTTTGCCCATTCAATATGATATTGGCTGTGGGTTTGTCATAAATAGGTATTATTTTGAGATACCTTCCATCAATACCTACTTTATTGAGAGTTTTCAGCATGAAGGGGTGTTGAATTTTATCAAAGGCCTTTTCTGCATCTATTAAGATAATCATGTAGTTTTTGTCTTTGGTTCTGTTTATGTGATGGATTACATTTATTGATTTGCATATGTTGAACCAACCTTGCATCCCAGGGATGAAGCTGACTTGATCATGGTGGATAAGCTTTTTGATGTGCTGCTGGATTCAGTTTGCTAGTATTTTATTGAGGATTTTTGCATCAATGTTCCTCAGGGTTATTGCCCTGAAATTTTCTTTTCTTATTGTGTCTCTGCCAGGTTTTGGTATCAGGATGATGCTGGCCTCATAAAATGAGTTAGGGAGGAGTCTCTCTTTTTCCATTGTTCAGGATAGTTTCAGAAGGAATGGTACCAGCTCCTCTTTGTACCTCTGGTAGAATTCGGTTGTGAATTCGTGTGGTCCTTGGCTTTTCTTGGTTGGTAGATTAATTACTGCCTCAATTTCAGAACTTGTTATTGGTCTATTCAGGGATTTGACTTCTTCCTGGTTTAGTCTTGGGTGGGTGTATGTGTCCAGGAATTTATCCATTTCTTCTAGATTTTCTAGTTTATTTGCATAGAGGTGTTTACAGTATTCTCTGATGGTAGTTTGTATTTCTGTGGGATCAGTGGTGAGATCCCCTTTATCATTTTTATTGTGTCTATATGATTCTCTCTTTTCTTCTTTATTAATCTGACTAGCAGTCTATCTATTTTGTTAATCTTTTCAAAAATACAGCTCCTAGATTCCGTGCTTTTTTGAAAGGTTTTTTGTATCTGTATCTCCTTCAGTTCTGCTATGATCTTAGTTATTTCTTGTCTTCTGCTGGCTTTTGAATTTGTTTACTCTTGCTTCTCTAGTTCCTTAAATTGTAACGTTAGGATACCGATTCTAGATGTTTCCTGCTTTCTCCTGTGGGCACTTAGTGCTATAAATTTCCCTCTCAACAGTGCTTTAGCTGTGTCCCAGAGATTCTGGTACATTGTGTTTTTGTTCCCATTGGTTTCAAATAACTTATTTATTTCTGCCTTAGTTTCATTATTTACCCAGTAGTCATTGGTCTTACCACGTCCCTCAAGTATACGGGTTCCACTTTACTCGAAACAATGGCCATGATCTGGTCACTTAAAGCTCCTCAAGCCAGATGTCAAGTTGTCTCTGTTTGCAGAAGACATGATTTTATATTAGAAAACCCCATCGTCTCAGCCCAAAAACTTCTTGAAATGATAAGCAACTTCAGAAAAGTGTCAGGGTACAAAATCAGTGTGCAAAATCACAAGCATTTCTATATACCAATAATAGACAATCAGAGAGCCAAATCATGAGCAAACTCCCATTCACAATTGCTACAAAGAGAATAAAATACTTAGGAATACAACTTACATGGGATGTGAAGGACCTCTTCAAGGAGAGCTACAAACCACTGCTCAAGGAAATAAGAGAGGAAACAAACAAATGGAAAAACAGTCCATGCTCATGCACAGGAAGAATCAATATTGTGGAAATGGCCATACTGCCCAAAGTAATTTACAGATTCAATGCTATCCCCATCAAGCTACCATTGATTTTCTTCACAGAATTAGAAAAAACTACTTTAAATTTCATATGGAACCAAAAAAGAGCCCATGTAGCCAAGACAATTCTAAGCAAAAAGAGCAAAGCCGTAACCATCACACTACCTGGCTTCAAACTACACTACAAGGCTACAGTAATCAAAACAGCATGGTACTGGTACCAAAACAGAGATATAGACCAATAGAACAGAACAGAGGCCTCAGAAATGACACCACACATCTAGAACAATCTGATCTTTGACAAACCTGACAAAAACAAGCAATGGGGAAAGGATTCCCTATTTAATAAATAGTGTTGGGAAAACTGGCTAGCCATATGCGGAAAACTGAAACTGGACCTCTTCCTTACACCTTATACAAAAATTAACTCAAGATGGATTAAAGACTTAAACATAAGACCTAAAACCATAAAAACCCTAGACGAAAACCTAGGAAATACCATTTAGTACATAGGCATGGGCAAGGACTTCATGACCAAAACACCAACAGCAATGGCAACAAAAGCCAACATTGACAAATGGGATCTAATTAAACTAAAAAGCTTCTGCACAGCAAAAGAAACTATCATCAGAGTGACTAGGCAACCTACAGAATGGGAGAAAATTTTTGCAATCTATCCATATGATAAAGAGCTAATATCCAGAATCTACAAGGAACTTAAACAAATTTACAAGAAAAAAAAAAACATCAAAAAGTGGGCGAAGGATATGAACAGACACTTTTCAAAGGAAGACATTTTTGCGACCAACAAACATGAAAAAAGCTCATCATCACTGGTCATCAGAGAAATGCAAATAAAAACCACAATAAGATACCATCTCACACCAGTTAGAATGGCGATCATTAAGTCAGGAAACAACAGATGCTGGAGAAGATGTGGAGAAATATAAACGCTTTTACAGTGTTGGTGGGAGTGTAAATTAGTTCAACCATTGTGGAAGACGGTGTGGCCATTCCTCAAGGATCTAGACCCAGAAATACCATTTGACCCAGCAATCCCATGACTGGGTATATACCCAAAGGATTATAAATCGTTCTACTCTAAAGACGCATACACACATATGTTTACTGCAGCACTGTTCATAATAGCAAAGACTTGGAACCAACCCAAATGCCCATCAATGATAGACTGGATAAAGAAAATGTGGCACATATACACCACGGAATACTATGCAGCCATAGAAAAGGATGGGTTCATGTCCTTTGCAGGGACATGGATGAAGCTGGAAACCATCATTCTCAGCAAACTAACACAGGAACAGAAAACCAACACCACATGTTCTCACTCATAAGTGAGAGTTGAACAATGAGAACACATGGACACAGGGAGGGGAACATCACATACTGGGGCCTGTCGGGGAGTAGGGGAAAGGGGAGGGATAACATTGGGAGAAATACCTAATGTAGGTGACAGGTTGATTGGTGCAGCAAACGACCATGGCACGTGTATACCTATGTAACAAAACTGCACGTTCTGAACATGTATCCCAGAACTTAAAGTATACATATACATATATATATGTACATATACGTATATGTATGTATATATACATATACATGTGTGTGTGTGTCTATATATATATATAAAGAATTCTACATGCTGAAACAGAGTTGCGGTTTATAATATCTCACTTTATATGAGTGACTAATTGCTATAGAGAACGATTCAAAAGACCAAAGGTTGGGCTTTAAAGAACCCAGTCTTTACTTAGTAAAGACTGTTTACTTTACTAACTTTACTTAGTAAAGTTTAAGTATCAGATTCATAAACTAATATTTTCATCTATCGTATCAAGCTGTGCATAGTGAACTGCTGTTTGCAATACTATTATTTAGCATGCTAATGGCAAAGAATAATTTTATCTATCTACTGCCTGGTTTTGAATTTTTTTCCATGTGGAAAAAATATACTTTTGCCCTTGAAACAGAATAACTTAGTAACAGGCAATAGAGCAGCCAAAATAAATTAACAATGAGAATTCTACCATGGTTAAGGGTCTCATGTTTTTAAGAAAGAGAAAGTGTACTGAATCAATGAAGTTCTTTGAATGTGTCAATACCATAAAGTATAGCACCAATTAGTTACTTACTCCTGCATATAGTATGTGAAGTCCCTAAACAGCTTCTAAAAACTGTAGAGCTAGTTCAAAAATGTTTTAAAGCAAAAACCTTTGACTTCAAAACAGGTGAAATGGGACAACTTTTATTGAATATGCCATTTAAATACCAAGTATGATTAGGTTTAGAGGTAGAAAAAACTATCTTAACAAGAACTGTTAATTAAAATTTGGACTTAGATGAAGTGTACATTATTAGTCCTGAGGGAAGCAAGATCCTCTGCCATATCTCAAAAGTGTTTAAGTACAATTGACATAGAACACAGTGTTACAAATTATTTCTATTTGTTACATTATAGTCATTGCAGAAAAGTAATTTCAGACTTGCTGAATTGCTTTTACATAAAACTAACATTATGTTATAAATTATATACATATTTCAAATATTTTTATTTCCTTGAGTCATGTCAGTCAAATTTCTGAGAGCTAAGGAATCTGAGGATGAAATACACATTAACCTAAAGCAACAGGTAGAACAGATGACCTTAGCTGATGCTATTTATTCATTTGTTTTATCAGCTAATTAAAGCAAAACAAATTGCCATTGATCATTGAAGAATTGGCACATTTTAATTTAGTGAACACAATATAATGTCTTTAAAGGAGATTTATTCACGGCCATTGAAAGAAGATTTTCACCTTAAATCACATGTTCATATTACCTAATCACTTGCCTATTTGCCTTTAATTTATAAGAACTTCTTGTCTTGGGGAATCAGATTCATATAGTCTTTATCTGCTCTTTAGCTACCATTGAAGATTTAGCTTTGAAGCTTTCCTTTTAATAATTCTTTGTGATAGAACACTCTGAGACGCTTGCTTGGAGTTCTAGTGCATCAATACAAATTATTGATTAACTGATTTTTAAAGGAGGGGGCAAAATCATGAGTTTCTAAACTCATGCTTGCAATTTACATGTTATGAACACAAATTTAGACTATAACAAATATATATTTAACACTGTTTTCTAGAGAAATGTTAATTACAGAAATACAAATACTACTGTTTTATATATATTAAACATAGGCAAAACATAACTGTTTAAGAATAATTTATAGTCATCTAAACTTTAGAACAGCTATTATTGTGAAATTCTCAGACTGCTCAGATGCTATTTTTCTCTCCTTTCATTCCTTCCTACTCCCCTTCTATTTTTTTTATAAACTATGCGTTGTTCTAGGATTATTCCAGGAGCTGCATATGAACAAATATAATAAGCTATCACCTGTGCTTATATTCAGAAATTAGTATAATATATACAAATTTATAAGCTTAAATTTTTTTTCTACATTATTAGGTGTAAAACTAATCTAGCACTCAAATCATAAAGAGGTAAATTAGTATATATCAGGGCTTAATATATTGTAGAAACATTTTGAAACCTAAAAACAGTGACTTTTACCCAACCAAATACATTTTAAAACACTGCAAAGAAGAAAAAATACCTGAAGTTTTTGGTATAGAGCCAAAGATAATCACTGACTCCAAAGAAAGATTGCTTGAAAGCATTGGTTTAAGTAAGTGCTCTAATTAATAAAACTTTTCATTCCTTTCTGTAAGAAAAAATTAATTTATATTAAAAATAGCCAAATGAAAATGATCATATTTGTTATTTGTGGAGGGTTTTCTAAAGTTAAAAGGACTTATAGGTATTGGTCAATAAGGTCAATTTATAAACCTGAATTTATAAATTTAAATTTTTTTAGGTACTTTAAAATGCTTTGGTCCAGGCACATGGACTAGGAACAAATAGTTCCTATTTTCAGTGCAGGGGTGTAAAGTCTGGTTTTTAAAGCAACAATAAAAAGTGTTTTGTTTAAGTCTGATGTCTGCAGTATATTGTTTTCTCTACTGAATGCATATTTTATACAATAGGGTACTGTAAGGCAGCACTGAAGGGGAGAAACTAATGTACAGCAGAAAAACTCATTGACTTCACAAATGTCAGGAAAAACAGCCTAAGTCACACGTGCACACACACACAAAATGGGAACTAGACAAGAATTTTAATGTTCAATTAAATTTTATTTTGAATACATAGGATTTTGCCTTATTGAGAGTTGAATATTTATCAATTTTATTAAAGAATCATACATTATTTATGGGAAATGAGTACTATAAAGTGTATAAAAGTAAACTTGTCAATAATCATGATTCGCTTAGAGGGGTATTACTTGGGCATCGGAAATAGGAAAATTTAAGTTAATACAACATAAACTATTTCACTTTGTAAATAAACATGTTTTATTGCAGGTGATTTCTAAATCTTGTGTTATTTTCACATCAGAGAGGAGAAATTAGAAAATGCACTGAAGAATTCTGTACAAAATTGCATTTGTTTTATTCAAGTCTTTAGAAATATATTGACTTTTACTAAATAACAAACGTGTAAATTCTTACTTCAGTTATTTCTATAACACCTCTCACATATTCTTTTCTAACATCTATAATCAGGGCAAAGGCCCTACACTTGCAAGTGAATATCATTCATATTAGAAACATAACAGGAATGATGTTATAATTTATAAATTTGTTCATTATTCATGCAAAAAATATTGCAATAATTTAAGAGCCCAGGCATGTGGGATAATCTTTCTTTCCAGATGGTAGTGGTAACTATGAAATAATAGCCAGACCACAAAATGGTGTTGTAGACAGGGACAAAGGACAAAAGAGTGTCTCTCTTGACCCACCAACTCCTTCCCATCTCTCAACATATATCTTCAGTGATGTTTATTTTGTTAATGGGAATATCATTTATTAATGATTTCCAAACTTTAAACTCACCAAATGGTAGGGTAGTACATATGTTCACAGATAGTTTTAAAACCATCAGAATTATTATATCAGCTCTGAGTTCCAATAAGAAGTATGGCAGATAGACAAATGAGAAGAGTTCTTATAATCAAATGCGGGATATCTGCACTATAATGTTGATTTTTACAAATAACATACATTTCTAGGATTATCAATTTTCTCATTTAATTTGGAATGTTATATATTTTTTTCTATCTATCTTGACAGGTTATTATGGAATCCAAGTGTCATAAAATTAATGAAATTCACCCTACAAAATAGCAGGCACCTATGTCACTATTATTTGAACTTAAAAATTCACAAGGAAAAATATTGTTTAACTTATGAAAAGTATATTTTTAGAGTTGAAATTCTCACAGTTTTATCTACTTTTGCTTTTTGAGAATTCAGGTCCCTTCATATTTAAGCTGCTAATAGTATCTTTTGTTTTAATATTTCTGATTTTTTTAAAATTTTACTTTTAATTGACAAATAAGTGTACCTATTCATGAAATGCACAGTGATGTTTCAATACATATAATGTATAACGGTCAGATTAGGATAATTAGCGTATTCATCCTCTCAAACTCATCTTTTGTGTTGAGAATGTCGAAATGTTGAATATCCTCTTTTTAGCTATTTGAAACTATGTATTATTGTTAAATATTGTTATCCTACAGTGGTATACAACACCAGAATTTACTCGTCCTACCTAGCTATAGTTTTGTATCCTTTAGCAAATTTTTCTCTATCTTCCCTTGCCTTTACTCTTTCAGCCTCTAGTATCCTGTGCTTTACTTTTCACTTCTATGAGATCAACATTTTTAAGCTTGCACTTATGAGTGAGAACATGTGGTGGTGAACTTTCTATTCCTGACACTTACACAGTGTCTTCCAGTTCCATACATCTTGCCACAAATGATAGGATTTCATTCTTTTTAATAGGTGAATAGTATTCCATTGTGTATATATACCGCATTTTTTAGCTCATTCATCTGTTGTTGGATACCTGGGTTGATTCCATGTCTTGGTTACTGTGAATAGTGCTGCAATAAACATGGGGGTGTAGATATCTCTTTGCTATAATGATTTCTTTTCCTTTGGATAAACGCCCATTAGTAGGATTGCTGGATCATATGGTAGTGCTATTTGTAGTTTTTTGAGGACCTCCATACTTTTTTCTGGAGTGGCTGTACTAGCTTACATTCCTACCAATAGCATATAAGAGTTCCCTTTTCTCTTCATACTTGTGAGCATTTGTTATTTTTCATCTTTTTGATAATAGCCTCCTACTGACGGTGCGATAACTTATTGTGATTTTTGATTTGTATTTGCCTGATAATTAGTAATGTTGAGAATTTTTTTTCATTTTTTTTTTTGCTATTTGTATGTCTTCTTTTGAGAAATGTCTATTCAGATCATTTGCCCATTTTAAAATATATTTTTGTTGTTGAGATGCTTTAGTTCCTTGTATATTCTGGATATTAATCTTCTAATGAGTAGATGGAAAATATTTCTTCCATTCTGTAGGCTTTTACTCTGTTGATTATGTCCTTTGTTGTGCAGAAGATTTGTGCTGTGATATAATCTCATTTTCCTTATTTATCTGTGTGTTTGAGGCCTTATTCATAAAATCTTTTCCCAGATTGACATCCTGAAGCATTTCCGCTATGTCTTCTTCTAGCAGTTTTATTATTTCAGGTCTTACATTTAGGTTTTTGATCCATTTAGAGTTGATTATGTGTGAGGTGGGGGTCTAGTTTCATTCTTTTGCATATGGATATCCAGTTTTCCCAACACCATTTATTGAAGAGACTACCCTTTCCCCATGAGTGTTCTCGGCATGTTTGTCATAAACCAGCTGGCTGTATAGACATGTAGATTAATTTCTGAGTTTTCTATTCTGTTTTATTAGTCCATGTATCTGTTTTAAGGCCAGTATTATGCTGGTTTGGTTACTAAAGCTTTGTGGTATATTTTGAGGTCAGGTAACGCAAAGCCTCTGGCATTTTTCTTTTTGCTCAGGATTGCTTTGGCTACTCTGGGATTTTTGTGATCCCACACACATTTTAGAATTTTTTTCAGTTTCTGTGAAGAATGTAATTCCTATTTTGATAGAGATTGCATTGAATCTGTAGGTTGCTTCTGGTAGTATCTGATTATTTTAATGGTACTTAGGTAAGTTAGGAAACTTTTGGATCCAAGCAAAAGAATACTTTGACAAATTGGAATAAACGCTACACACACACACACATATATATGCATATATATATATATGCATATATATATATATATATGCATATATATATATATGCATATATATATATATATATAATCTTTTCACATAAGAGGAAATACAGAGGTAAGGTAGTCTCTGGTGCCCATCAGCATCATATAGAATTCAAATTCTTCACAACTCTTCACTCATTATCTTCAGTGTGTTTTGTCCTAACACAAGCTCTCTTTTAGGGTTGCAAACAAGTCCACTGACCAAGATTGACCTACAACTACCCTCCTCATTCACTCACCATCAAGGGAAGATGACTTCCACAAATGGCTCATATTTATTTTTTAATGTGGAATAGCTACCTTTATTCTTATAGGGAAGGACCAATGATTTGTTGATCATCAAAATCTGAAAACAGATAAGATAATTTTACCCTAGTGCCTTGCCTCTGTAATTATATCTCTTCCACTAAACAATAGGCTCCTCCATGTAGGAATTCATGTTTTCTTCATTTTTATATCCTCAATGACTAGTGTGTATTTTTTGTTCATAATAGGATAATGAATGAATGCATGATTTTTAGGAGAATAACAGTGACTACAACCAAGTAAAAACAGGACTAAGAGTAACATGTTTGAGAAAAAAGTGATAAAAGCAATGGTACAGCAATGGAGCAGTGGAGCAAGTGGAAAATAAAGTTTGAAAGATAAATTTGAAAAAGACTACGCAAAGTTTGAAAGGTCAGTCTAGATCCACTCTTTGAAGGTTGAAAATTAAATAAATAAATAAAAAGAAGAAACAAAATGTCAGTCTATAAATTTTAAAATTTGCTGTGTAAATTGTGGTAGTCCCTGAAGTTTCTGAGATAAAATTAACATGAAAAAATTGTATCTGAACATCCTGCAACTCTCTCTTCACCACATTCACACAACTCATTTGCATGTAAGTTTTCAGATCCCTTTAATATGTTTAATATGTTTTACTGAAAAGGCAATGACTGATGAATATAGCCAGAAAGAATAGGATTGACAATAGGGATGAATAAACTTTAATGCTTTAAAATCTTCGATTATGGGCCGGGCGCGGTGGCTCACGCCTGTAATCCCAGCACTTTGGGAGGCCGAGGCGGGTGGATCATGAGGTCAGGAGATCGAGACCATCCTGGCTAACAAGGTGAAACCCCGTCTCTACTAAAAATACAAAAAATTAGCCGGGCGCGGTGGCGGGCGCCTGTAGTCCCAGCTACTCGGGAGGCTGAGGCAGGAGAATGGCGTGAACCCGGGAAGCGGAGCTTGCAGTGAGCCGAGATTGCGCCACTGCAGTCCGCAGTCCGGCCTGGACGACAGAGCGAGACTCTGTCTCAAAAAAAAAAAATAAAATAAAATAAAATAAAATAAAATCTTCGATTATGGGACACAGCCAAAAATAAGTCTGGAACACTATTTACAATGTCATATTTAGTTTTCCTTTGTAGAAATGTAATACGTTTTGCAGCTATCAAAAATATTTCTTTCAAATTTCGTAAAATTAATGGGTAGAAAATTAACCTATTAACTGTTTGCGGCCTATTAATTAATTAAGCTTGAGCTTAAGCATATAGGAATACACAGGATGCTTAAAATTGCCATCTCTTTGAGGGTTAGATTCTAGTTCCTTGCTACAAAATAACTATGTGATGCTCCTACATGCTCACTGACATTCAAACATGGAAATACAGTGATAAATTTAAATGTAATTCCAAAGTATTACAAATAATCTGAATATAGTTCCTCTATAGTAACTCTGCTGAAGGAAAAAAAGAAAACAGTAGAAAGCATGTATTGTCTTTAATGAAACAGAAAAAAACTATCACTGACCAGCTTTTTTGAACATCAGTTTTTAAATAGGCACCTTATCTTTGGCAACCATATGTTAGCCAAGTGTTTTAACCCAGCAAAATAAAGTCTTGCAGTTGGGAGAAAACTTCTGTATGTAACACGCCACATAATTGAATACATAAACTTAACATTCACTTCACAAGTTCAACAAAAAAGTAAGGGAAAATGTCTACAAATGCGAAGACATATATTTGATCCAAACAAGGAAGCATATGTTGATGGAAGGACATTCATTTTATAATTACCTATGTGTGACTAAAGAATTCCATTTTCAATCAACTAACAGCAAAGGGAATTTATGTAAGCTTTTACATAAAGTTATAAAGTTTTAAAACTATCTTATCGAAATAGATTTAAGCAGAGTACTTTCTCCCTGCTGTCAAACGAGTACAAATAAAAGTAAACATGACAAAATTGTGTGGGTTTAACATGCCACCCACTCAGAATATACCAGTTTTCATTGTTTTCAGTTGTTTTATAATTCAGCGTAAATATGACAGCTCTGTATTTATATCTGCCACTGGAAAATTTCAGGATGCATTATGAGTACTGGCTCATAAACCCATGGCACATACTTAAATTTTATGTGTACACCAAGAAATGGATAAAAACACAAACATGTCAAACTAGAAAAAGACATATAGTTTCCTGAAAATTTTATATAATAACCTGGATCTTTAATTTTGTTACTTTAATTATAGTAACAAAATAAAAAGCTACATGACACATACAAAACAAAGAGATGTTGATTTGGATATGCAGGGTTACCATCTGTCAACTACATCATCATCACTTAGAGGTCAACAGAAGAATCAGATGATATGTGAAATATTTTGATCCTAATGTACGTTTATTAAAAAAAGTCCCTAATTTTCAAAAATATTAACAGTAATAACATCAAAGAATAATGGATGCTGTTAATCCTTTAAAGAACTAAGACAAGTAGGAGAAAACTAATTTCACACATATTATTCAAAATTGTCTCATAAAGTGATCAATCATTTGCATAATGCTGAAGTATCTACAAAAGTTTTATCATGGGGTTTTACCATCTATGTATAAAGACCCTTTAACAGCACATTTGATATATACCTTTCAGATCATTCAGTTCACTTAGTATTCCTTGTGCCACACAAGCTTCTCTGAAGACTAGCAATAACAATAGCCCAGAGAAAAATTATGAAGCAGTTAAAATCTGTCTTTCGAGTTTTCTAAACATTTTTTTTTCCTAGTGTTACCTCTGCCTAATCAGCCAGTTCAATTTATCCTCTTAGCTTTTGGTCAGCCTAAGAAGAAAAGGACTGACCCTAAATATCTTTAAATGTTATCATTCACTGTATCTTGTCTGCATTTTAATAGCATTTAGAGTCTTTTGCTAAAATAACAGAGCTGCGTGGGTAGAATTTTGGGTGATGGGAGAAAATGGTGAGACAACATGACTGCTTGATGATTCTAAATCAGCGCTACTGGCAACTGCTCATTCTTTGGAGTCAGTGGAAAAGACATGGGCTTTAAAATCACAAAGTCTTGGGACTCAGTCTCATCTCTGACATTTTTTAGCTATGGTATCTTTTCAGAGTCGCTTAACCTCCCTTAGCCTCAGCAAATCATCTACAAAATATGAACACCAGTGTTGATTTGAAGAGTAAATGAGAGAACATGTGATATGTTTGATAGGATGCCTGGCAGGTAATAGGTAATAAATAATTATCAGCATTCTTCATTTCATCTCCAAATGACTGGTCTTGATCTTTAAATCTGGTCACTTTAGAAGGACAGTTTGAAATTGTGGTCTGTAGTTTTGATGCCCCCATTTATGTGGTCCTAGTGACACAGAGACACACACTCACATGAAGATAAGCAATAGAGAATTAACCTGGTGAATGGAAATTAATGAAATGTCATGTCACCCATGCACCATATTTTGCCAAAAAAGGGAGAATCGAGAATCAGGTCCAAGATCAGTATTATCATTGCCGCACTGAGTGATTTCAGTACTATAAACTTATTCATAAAATTAAAACTTTATATTCACAATATTAAAACTAATTTAACACTTAGTAAAGTACTTGGTATATTTCAGAGCAACAAAATGAATGCTGGAAAATAAAAGTAAATAAAGGCTTTCTCTAGTGTATCAGGATGTGCCCAAAGTAAAATTAAATATTAAAATGAGGCTCCAAGATAGTGGGCAATTCATCTTTTTATCCACATGTTCCACTTAACCAAGCCATATTTTATTGCTTGGGGAAGACACAGCTTTACGAGGGGGAAATGGCCAATTTCACTCTTACTGCTAACATCACTACATCTTCTTTACAAAGTAAGCTACTCATTATATGTCATGAATAATATATTTAGCACGAGACCAAGATTATGGCTAGGACAACCATATTTTATATTGAAAAAAACACGGTAACCTGTATTCGACTGTTACGAATAACAGCAGCAAAGAAAGCGATCTGCTTCACCTTTTTTTCTTGGTTGAACTGCTTACCATTCAGGAAACAATATATAGGCTTCTAGCTGGCATCATTTTACCCTTGCTTAAAAGTTCAGTGCAATTCAACAAACATGTATTGATTGCCTAATCTGCTTAAGAGTAATCAATGGGAAAATCAAAGGTGTATAAGGTTTTAACACATTAGAATGGTAAACAAGCAAATTATTAACATACAAATTTTATGACCCGTGAAAAAAGTGATATATACATCACTTTTACATATATGTATTATATATATAAAGGAAGGAATACAGTGGAGGGGCTCATTTATTCATGCATTGTTTATCAACTTTGGGAGCACCCTTAGTTTTGTTTTTCCTTTTCTTAGTTATTTTATTTCAGAGGGTCAACACTTATTAATATTTTTAGGATCACATTTCATTACTGTTCTGTTGTGGCTTGTATTTCTGATTGTCTCTTTTTGTTGCTGCTGCTCTCAGGTAAACAAGTTATTTAAATTTTATTATGCCACCTGGGTTAAATCCTAAAACCTAATTTTGTCCTTGGATGAGCACAACTGAAATTGCTACGGGTTTCACTGATTTGGTGTGCTGAAGTAAATGTATGTTTCATGTGTAACCACATATAAGTATAGAATCTTCTTTAAACAACCAAATATAAATAGAAGCTTGGAAACATTTCTGACATTAAACTGGCCACCAGTTGAAAAATCAGATAATGTATGTGAAATTGCCTTGAAAATAAAAAGCAGCATGGATGCAATGTAACATTATTATCATTAAGTGGAAATGACAGATCATAAGCAAATGTTTTTATAGCTGACATTCATTTATAGACATATTTTTTCTTTGATCAAAGAAAACTCAAATATATGTCTTTAAATTAGATACATTAGAAGCCTTATAAGTTAGCAAATATTGCATGTTCCATTATCATTATTTACATTCTGCTCCTGCTATGAACTGAATTCATATGTTGAAATCCCAAATGTGATGGGATTTGGAGATGGGACCTTTGGGATATAATTAGGTTATGAGAGTGTAGCCTTCATGGCAGGTTTAGTGTCCCTAGTAGAAGAGATGCCAGCAAGCTTCCAGTCTCTCTCAGTCATGTGAAAACACAGTGAGAAGCTGGCCATCTGTAAACCGGGAAGAGTACCCTCATCAAGAACTCCACCATGCTGGTGCTCTGATTTTGAAGTTATAGCCTCCACAACTGTGAGAAATAAATGTTTGATGTTTAAGCCTCATGGTCTATGGCAATGTATAGCAACCTAAACTGATTAAGACAGTTCTTAATGTATATACTTAATGCATTACTATTAATGTAAGTCAACTTTTAAGATGAATAAATGGTTTCTTATATTTAGATGTGTTGTAGCATTTGTGTGTGTGTGTGTGTGTGTGTGTGTGTGTGTATGTGTATGTGTGTGTGTGATAGCCTAGATTAGAACCTTGTTGGGTTTGGGGTAGGAGTTGTATATTAAAAAAAAAATCATCAGATGATACTGATCAAGATCATCCTAACAAGTCTTAGCCAATTTCTCAATGCTAATAAAAGTCTCAGCTCATATCAGATATTTTCTGATTCTAAAACCTCAGGCTCTTGAAGTCCATGTTGTATCAACCTAAATAAGTTGTGAAAAAAGTTCATAAGAAGTTCAACCAACTTCTCAGACAATTCCATTTTTAATCTATTTATTCACTCTACATACAGTTTTTCCCTTTTTATTATTTTTTAAATTTTTTTTTTATACTTTAATTTCTGGGATACATGTGTAGAACATGCAGGTTTGTTACATAGATATGCACATGCCATGTTGGTTTGCTGCATCCATCAACCCATCATCTACATTAGGTATTTCTCCTAACGCTATTCCTCCCCCAGCCCTCCACCGACCGACAGGCCCCGGTATGTGATGTTCTCCTCCCTGTGTCCATGTGTTCTCATTGTTCGACTCTCACTTATGAGTGAGAACATGCAGTGTTTGGTTTTCTGTTCTTGTCTACATACAATTTTTACATGGCTGCAATGGAGCAGATATTCTCCCCAGAAACTAGAGCTATATTTATAATATAAATATATGTATATATATACACACACACACACACACACAAACACACAATGCTGGAAGAGGCAGGCATGTCTATAACTAGTCTCAAGTAGTATAATAAATGTGTTAATAGAAATATGAACAAATTCTTATGGAATCCTAGAGGGAGGAGCATCTAGCGGTGGCAGCTGATGAGAGCTGGGGAGAGTAAGGTCATAGGAAGTGAGGCATTGAAACTGAACCTCAGGAGATAGATAGGAGGTCATTTCTGACAGAGCAAGCAGTATTTAGACAATAGTCAAAAAGATAGTGATTGTATACTGTATCATAGCTGAACTGTCAATAATGTGGAGAGAGTGTTGAAAAAATAGTGTGAAATGGTAGTTTAAACTTTATCCCAATTTAAATATATGAAAGAAAATGAATAATTACCATTATTTGTTACAATGACAGAATATGTCACTGTTTTTAGGACATATAAGTGTTTTTAGGACATATAAGATAAACTTCAGAAGACTCTTTAATGGCTAGAGGTTGACAAGGAGCTCCTACTTCTCCAAGTGCAAAAGATACTATGAGGAGATGAGTTGAACATGTCCACGACCAAGATAAATTGCTTAGTATGTGCAAATGTAGCATCTAGAAGCCTGGGTACTGGCTGAACCAATGAGATTATCTGGTTAAAGAGTATTCCTACAGAATATAAAAATAAAAAGCACAGAAAATCATCTATAGAAGAGCTTCCTATGATTGGAGTTGCTTGGGGGTATGTATTTTGTGATTTAAAAGTGTGACATTTTACATAAAGGACACATATTTGTGCTAAAATATGGTTCCTTTCTAGCATACATTAAGAGAACAACCTTGTTGCATGTGAGGGGACCAGTGAGCAGATTCCCTTAAACTTAGGAGTAAGGGAAGCTGCCCTTTGACAGGGTATACATGATATTCAAACATAATGGACACACAGAATTGTTTTCTGTACCTTCAGGTTAAAGTTACTACTGGATAGTATCTTTATCTCTTATGTAAATGCAGGCTAGAAAAGGATCTATTAGCCAAAGCGAAACAGAAAGGGTGGAATCAGAATGTGTCCAATGCCATTGGTGACAGAGTGAATGTGGTAGATTAGCTGGACATGAAAAGTCCGGCACTTATGTAGATGCAGCTGCTTACTGCAGTGCAGGAGCTTTTATCTGAGAGAGACAGCAAGAGCTTCCAAGCTAAGCTGACTCAGTTCAAATTTAGGCCTTTTCACTTACTATGACCTCTTTGGCCAATTTACTGGATTATCTCTATGATGTTCTCAAATGGGCAAATTTATTTTGAGGATATGCCAAGCACATTACATTCATTGGACCTACTGTTTGATTTTAGAGAAGTAAAACTTGGAAATAAGCCCATTAAATGATTATTATTACATTCTGAAGGAAAAAAAATTCTTGCTTTGATTAAACTCAGATTTCTGTATACACAGAATATTTAATTTTTTCTTTTATAATTTTTACAATATTCACCTATGAATATTTTATTTTTAGTACTCGTCTTAGTTTGTTTAGTGCTGCAATAACAGAATACCTGAGGCTGAGTAATTTATGAGGGAAAAGTTTATTTGGCTCATGGAGTCTGGTGGCTGCAAAGTTCAAGACTGGGCAGCTGTGTCTGGTGAGGGCCTTGTGCTGCTTCCACTCATGGTGGAAAGCAGAAGAGGAGCTGACATACACAAAGAGTTCACATAATGAAAGAAGAAGTCATATTCTTTATAATGACCTACTGTTATGGGAACTAATCCATTCCTGCAAAACAGAATCCACACACCCCCACAGGAGGGTGACCTAGTCATGAGAAAACTGCCCCCATGGATCCAAAAATCTTCCACTATGCCCCACCTCACAACACTGATGTATAGGGGATTAAATTTTAATATCATTTTTTTTGGAAGCAAATCACATCCAAACCACAGCAATAGCAATAGTTATTGTTTATAAATAACAAATAATATAACTTATTTAAAAACAATGAATGTGAATTCAAAATTTGTCAAAGTAGACATTTCAATGATGATAGAATTGTTTATATGAAGCTGTTTGTATTTCTTGTAAGGCAGCATTTAAAATACATTTGAATAAATATATTTAAAATACAGATACAAGTACCTTAAGATGATTTTATTAATTTTTAATTAAGTAAATGGTACATGAAAAAGTATTCAAATAATACAGAAGCATGATAAATATGAGCTCCCCCTACCCCCAGCCCTCTTCAAGACCCCCATTTTCTGTTTGGCCCCTGTCCTTCCAAACTTTTTATATATCTACATACACATGTGTATACATATTAGCAAATATTTGTGTTGGCAGAATATTTAGTTTTCACTTAATAAAAATAAAATTTTATGGAGTTTTTTTTCCTGTACTCTGAAAGGCTGATTTAAAATGCTAATTAGTATGGAAAAAAGTCTCCTAAAATGTTTTAGTTATTCTCTGTAACGTTTTCAGTTTAAATTAGACTTGAAACCTTACTATTAAAAATTTGAAAAGGAGTATGGTGATCTAATAGGCTTTAATAATATACTACTTAAATTCTAACAGTTCTGTGACAAAACCACTTCTCTTTGACTTATTAACAATCACCAGGGCATTTACTTCACAATAAAATAAAGAGCACTCTTTCTTCTTATGTTCTATATTTGGTTTAAAAAAATCAGTGTAGACTGCCCTTGCTCTTCAAAGGTGATTAAGACAATCACTGTAATTTTATTTGATTCTGTGAATTTTTTACATGAGGAAAAGAAATACTTAGGCTAAAAATTTCAAGTTTTTAAAATTTCAAGGTAGCTGAATCATAGAGGTGGTTTATCCCATGCTGTTCTCGTGATAGTGAGTTCTCATGAGATCTGATGGTTATAAGCACCTGGCATTTCCCCTGCTGGCATTCATTCTCTCTCTCCTTCCACTCTGTGAAGAGTTGCCCTTCCACCATGATTGTAAGTTTCCTGAGGCCTCCCCAGCCATGCAGAACTGTGAGTCAATTAAACCTCTTTTCTTTATAAATTACCCAGTCTCAGGTATTTCCTTATAACAATGTGAGAACTAACTAACACAGTAGCCTATTCATCTTTTCCAGACTAAATATAAAACCACAAATCAAATTCTAACCACTCAGATGCAGTGCCCCATCAAATGTCAAGGTCAAGGTCAGTTCTCTTGACATGCAGATTTAAAAATTTTATCAGTAAGGTCAGGGGTCAACTATTTAAGGACATTTTACTGATGACTAGAGTTATTTTTCTTCTATTCCAATGCTCAAAATGGATACTAATTGGAGCCACCCTGCAGGCTTTGAATACTCCATGTAAATCTTCAGAGATAATGAGCAAGCTCATCCTAGAAATGGCAGAGGGTTCAAATAGGATTTGTTTTTGTTGTTTTGTGATGACAACTTACAGAGACCTAAGGAGTTGTGATGGAGACTATGTGGTATTTTGTGATAACAATTTGTAGAGACCTTAGAATCACTCCTTTTCATGACTACAGCTGACTTTCTAAAAGGGGTTTTAAGATATTGTTGTTCAAACTTTTTTTTATATTGCATACCCTAACTTAGAAGACACACAGCACTGCAGGACAGGTCCCCATATGGCCCCTTTCTCACTTGTAGTTCTCAGAGTAACTGTAGAATACATTGGAAATGCAACATTGAAGACATGAAGGAACAGGCTGGAACTCTGTTCCCATTGTTCCCAGAACAGGGTGTCCTGAAATGCTTTAGCTCAGCAATTCCATTGCCCCTGGGTATAAAACCCAGGGCAGTATGTGCTTTGGGGGGCCCTCAGCTGCAGTGCAACACAGAATATGCACAGATGAGACTTCATCTGCCCTTGGCAGTTTTCCTGTGCCTTAGTGGGGGCTGGCTCACCATACATCCTAACCTTCCCTTGTCTTTTGCTACCTATCTGTGAGTAAT